>NC_000010.11:36095647-36399930 GCF_000001405.40 Homo sapiens
CCTGCTCCAGCCATGTAAGATGTGCCTGCTTCCCCTTCACCTTCCACCATGATTGTAAGTTTCCTGAGGCCTTCCTGGCCTGTGGAATTGTGAGCCAATTAAGCCTCTTTTCTTTATAAGTTGCCCAGTCTCAGGTAGTTCTTTATAGCGGTATGAGAATGGACATTCCCAAGTCTTCCTCTCTAGAGGCAACTGGATTCCATCATTTATCTGGTTCTTTTTGTACATCAATATTCCTAAATAAATGTTAGGTTTGGACATTCTCATTTAACTTGCCATTGTGAAGGAAAAGGATTTAGTTCTTTTACACAAACTCTATACTACAAAATTATGTTCATTCTCCATCCTCCCAATAAGAAAGTGATGAATGTTTTGATTAAATATTCAGTTTTTATGACAATACAGATATTGTGGAAGGCTGAGGCATATATCCATGCTTGTATGCAATGATTATATTTTATATCTTTATAATTTTCCTCTTAGCATTAATGTCTTTTTAAAAACAAGTTGATTATATTTTATTTCTTTTTTCAAAAATTTAAGGCATTCAGATTTTCTCAGGTATTGAATATAACACATATGAATGTACATAATACCCCATGTGAGAAATTTTACAAATACCACTTGAACCATTGATAAACTGTTTTTTGATCTTGCTGTTGTTTTTCTTGCTGCCCATTAACGGTAAATTCTAGAAAATTTTCAGTTATTATTCCCATGAAGTATTTACAGATTTACTCTATATTATTACATTTCTAACCAATGCATTATATGTTTTAAACTTTATACAATTGCACCATGCTGCATATTTTCTTGTAAACCTTGCTTTTCCCCATCAATGGATTTTTGAGATTTCTAATGCATGTAGTACTAACTCATTTTATTGTTATAAATATTCCATTGTGTAATTATATTCACAATGTATTTATTTATTATAAACCTGAATAGTATCTGACTGTACTGAATATTGAGGGTAATTGGAACATAATGGTAAACATTTGTGTATCTAAACACCCAAAAAGGACAGTGAAAATATTGTATGAAAATAAAAAATGATACATCTGTATAGGGAACTTAACCATGAACGGAGCTCGCAGGACTGGAAGTGGCTCTGGGTGAGTCAGTGAGTGAGTGGTAAGTGAGTGTGAAGGCCTAGGACATTACTGTACACTACTATAGACTTGATGGACACTGTACTGAATTTCTAATTTTTCTTTCTAAAATAATTAACAGCTTACTGTAACTTCTTAACTTTATAAATCTTTAACTTTAAACAGCTTAAAACACAAACACATTGTACAGCTGTACAAAATTTTTTTATATCCTCATTCTATAAGGTTTTTCTATTTTAAATTTTTTTCATTTTATTTTACTACTTTTTAAACTTTTTGTTAAAAATTAAAACACAAATACACACATTAACCTAGGTCTACGCAGGGTCAGGACCATGAATATCACTGTCTTTCGCCTCCACATCTTGTTCCACTGGAAGCTCTTTAGGGGAAATAACACGCATGAAGCTGTCAGCTCCTATGATAAAAATGCCTTTTTCTGGGATACCTCCTGAAGGACCTGCCTGAGGCTGTTTTATAGTTAACTTTTTTTTATAAGTAGAAGGAGAACTCTCTCAAATAATGAGAAAAAACACAGTAAACACAAAAATCAGTAGTAAGATGGTGGTTTATTATCAAGTATTATATACTGTACATAATTGTATATATTATGCATTTATAAGAGTGGAAACACAGTAGGTTTGTTTACACCAGCATCACCACAAACAAGGAAGTAATCATTGTGCTACAACATTATGATGTTAGTAAGTGATAGGGATTTTGTAGCTCCATTATAATCTCATGGGACTACCATCATACATGCAGTTCACTGTTGGCTGAAATGTTGCTATGTGGCACATGATTATATTTGAAACATCTCTAGATTACTTATAATACTTAATACAATGTAAATGCTATGTTAATAGCTTTTATACAACTTTGTTCTTTAATTCGTATTGTTTTTAGTTTTGTATTTTTATTTTTTACTTTTTCCTCCAAATATTTTCAATCTGCAGGTGGTTGAATCCATTAATGTGGAACCCACTGGATTTGGAGGGCTGACTGTACTCAACGTTAAGCTATAAACATATTGCTGTAAGAATTTTATTACGTGTCTCTCTGCACACAAAGATGAGAGGTTTTTTTAATAGTGTTTATACCTGGAAATAAAATCAATGAGTCATGGAACTTGCTCCTTCAGTTTTAATAGATAATGCCAAATAGCTCTCCTAAATAGCTAAGATCATTTTAAACCACTCAGCACTTTATAAACACTCCAGTGTTTCTTGTCCTTACCTACAGTTGGTATAGTCAAGCTTGTTATTTTTTTGCCAATCTTATTGTGTAAAATAGTTCTCATTATTGTTTTATTTTGCGTTTTCCCAGTTATTAGTGAGGATTTCTTTTCATGGGTTCATTGGCCATTTTTTTTTCCAAATTGCCTATTTGTAGGTCTTGTTTGCATTTCACTTATTAATTTTAGAGAATTATTTATATATTTTGGCAGGGATAGGGGAAAAGGAAGCAGCTTGAAATACCTCGGAACATTCTGTTCTTAACAAGGCCTGCCCTCAGGAGAAATTATTTTACCACAGCCTAACATGCTGAAGTTATATCAGAGCCTGACCGACCTAGATAAAGGCAGACATGACTCTAACCCCCTCCAGCCACCCTGTCCCACTTAAGAGAGAAGAAAGAAACCTGAGCAGCACTGATGAAGTTTACAGTCCAGAGGCTCAGGCTCACCAAAGACGAGACCTAATCACAGGACTATAGAACCCTCCCTTACCCACACCTTCCCACCCTGTCGCTAAAGGCCCATTTAGCACAATTCTTCTTACCCAGTATGTCAAGTCTGCCTTTCAACACAAAATTATAAGGCATACTAAAATAAGTAGATCAGTTTGAACACTCAACAAGCATCACAACCAGCGTTAGATATGGCAAAAATGTTAGGATTATCAAACCAGGAATTAAAATAAGCTAAAATGAATATATTAAAGGCTTTAAAGAAAAAAGTACATCGGCCAGGCGCGGTGGCTCACGCCTTTAATCCCAGCACTTTGGGAGGCTGAGGTGGGCGGATCACAAGGTCAGGAGATTGAGACCATCCTGGCTAACACGGTGAAACCCTGTCTCTAGTAAAAAATACAAAAAATTAGCCGGGCATGGTGGCAGGTGCCTGTAGTCCCAGCTAATCGGGAGGCTGAGGCAGGAGAATGGCATGAACCCGGGAGGCGGAGCTTGCAGTGAGGGGAGATCACGCCACTGCACTCCAGCCTGGGAGACAGAGCGAGACTCCGTCTTAAAAAAAGAAAAAAGTACATCATACAAGGCCACAAAATGTAAGCAGAGACATAGGAATTCTAGGAAACAACTAAAAGAAAATATTAGAGATAAAAAATACTATAACAGAAGTGAAGAATATTTTTGATGGAATTATTAGCAGATGGGACATGACTGAAGAAATAATTCTGAGCTTGAAGATATGAAAACACAAACTTACAAATCTTAAAGGCAAAAGGATGAAAAAAGTCTTTAAAAGACAAAAGAGAACTGTGAGATGATTACAAAAGATGTAACATACACATAATGGGAATACCAGAAGGAAAAGAAAGAGAGAAAGGAACAGAAGCAATATTTGAAGTAATAATGGCTGAGATTTTCCTCTAATCAATGTCAAACCAAAACTACAGATATAGGAAGCTCCCAGAACACTAATCATAACAAATGCCAAAACATCACACCTAGACATATCATACCCATACTGGAGAAATTCAAAGATAAAGGAAAAACTTGAAAGAAGTCAGGAGAAGAAAAATCTTACCTAGGGAGGAGCAAAGATAAAAATTACATCCAACCTCTCCTCAGAAACAATGTAAGGAAGCAGAGAGTTGAGTGAAATATTTAAAGTGTTGAGGGAGAAAAGCACCAACTTAGAATTCTGTACCTTGTAATATTATTCTTCAAAAGTGAATGAAAAATAAAAGTTTTCTTAGACAAACAAAAATTGAGGAAGTCTGTTGCCAGTAGACCAGCTTTGCATGAAATGTTAAATGAAGTTTTTCAAGGAGAAGGAAAATGATATAGGTCAGAAACTCAGATCTACCTAAATAAAGAAAGGAAGAACATCACAGAATGAATAAGTGATGGTAAAATAAAAACCTTTATCTTTCCAATCTTAATCTAATAGATAACAGTTTGCCCAAAATAATGGTAGCAACACTGTATTAGGACAATGTATTAGATTATGTATGCTTAAGTGTGTGTGTATAGACAGACATTTCACCTAAGCATACTTATGTATGTTCCTATATAAGTGAAATGAATTACAGCAATGATATAAGGGACAGGAGGAACAAAATAATAAATATTCACTTATTATAAGGTATTTGTACCACCTGTGAACTGCTATAGTTTTATTTGAAAGTAGACTTGGGCTAGTTGTAAATATATATTGCATGCTCTAGGGCAAATGTTAAAGAGAGTTTTAAAAATGTATAATTTATATGCTAAGAAAAAAAGAGAAAACCGAATCATATAAAATGCCCAATTAAAACCAGAAAAAAGCAGAAAAGAGTGGAAAACAAAAATGGAAACATGGAAAAAATGCAGAGAAAACAGTGACAAATATGGTATATATTAATCCTGCTATATCAATATTATGTAAAGGTCAATGGTCAAAATGCCCCAATTAAAAGACAGGGATTGTCAGAGTGGATCAAAAAACAAAACTCAACTATATGTTGTCTAGAAGAAGCATACTTCAACAACACATATAGATTACAAGTAACAGGATAAAGAAAGATATACTATGATAACACTATTTAAAAGAAAGTAGGAGTAGCTATATTAATTTCATAAAAGGGGACTTCAGAACAGGGAAGTTATCAGGGATAAAGCAAGACAGTACATAATGATAAAGGGATCAATTCTTCAAGAAAACATAAAAATCCTTAAGTGTATATGCCTAACAACAGCACATCAAAATGTGTGAGGCAAACTGGACAGAGCTACAAGAAGAAACAGATAATCCACTATTATAGTTGGAGATTTCAGCACTCCTCTGTTGTCAGAAATAGACAGATCCAGCAGGCAGACAATTAGTGAGGACAAAGTTGAACACAACAGCACCATCAATCAACTGGATATAATTGACATCTATTAATTACGTTATTCAACAACAGCAGAATACACATTCTTCAAGGTCACATGGAGCATTCACCAAGATAGACCACATTCTGGGCCATAAAACACACCTAAATAAATTTAAATGAATAGAAATTATACAATGTCTGCTCTCAGACCACAGTGGAATTAAACTGGAAATCAGTAACATAAAGATAGTTGAAAAATACCAAAGTACATGGAGATTAAACAACATACTTCTAAGTAACATACGACTCAAAGAAGAAACACAAGCAAAATTTAAAGATATTTTAAACTAAAAGAAAATGGAAATGCAACTTATCAAAATTTGTGGGATGCAACATAAGTAATGTTTAGAGGAAATTTAGAGCAATGAATTCTTATATTAAAAAAGAAGAAAGACCTAAAATTAATTATCTAAGCTTACACCATAGGAAACTAGATAAAAGAGAGTAAATTAAATTCAAAGAGGAAAATAAATAATAAAAGCTAGAGTAGAAATCAACAAAACTGAAAAGAGGAAATCAGTGAAACCAAAAGCTGGATCTTTGAAAAGAACAATAGAAATGATAATTCTCTAGCTATGCTAACTGAGAAAAAAGAGAGATGATACAAATTACAAATGTCAGAAATAAAAGAGAGACATCACTATAGATCCCACAGCCATTAATAGATTAATAAAGAAATATCGTGAAGAACTCTATGTCCACAAATTTAGTAACCTGGATGAGATGGGTCATTTCCCTGAAAGAAACAATCTTCCAAAACTCATGCTAGAAGAAACAGATTCTGAATAGGTCTATATCTATTAAAGAAATAGAATCAATAACTGCTAACCTTCCAACACAGAAAGTTCCAGGTACAGATGGGTTCACTAGTAAATTAACTTTGAAGGAAGAAGTTATATCAGTACTCAACAATCTCTTTCATAAGATAACCACAGAAAGAATACCTACTAACTCATTTTATGAGATGAGCATTACTCTAATGCCAAAACCAGACAAAGACATTATAAGAAAGGAACATCACAGAAAAAATATCTCTCATGAACACAGATGCAAAGAGTCTCAAAACATTCTTAGTAAGTTAAATTCAACAAGGTATGAAAAACAATTATACCCTATACCATTGGGGATTTCTCCAAAGTATTCAAAGGCTGGTTCAACATTCTAAAAACAACTAATGTAATTCATAACATTAACAGGCTAAAGAAAAAAAAACACATGATTATATCAATACATGCAAAAGAAGCATTTGACAAAATCTAACACTCATTTATGATAAAAGCTCTCAGCACACTAGGAACAGACAGAAACTTCCTCAACTTGATAAGGAACATCTGCAAAAAACCTGTAGCTAATATCATACATCATTGTGAGGAATTTAGGTTTTTCTCCTAAGATCAACAAGGCAAGACGTCCCCTCTCAACACCTCTTTTCAATATTATAATGGAAGTCCCAGCTCATACAATAAGAAAAGAATAGGAAATAAAATGCATATAGGAAGAAATAAAACTGTCTATGCTCTGAGACAACATGATCATCTATGTAGAAAATTGAAAGAATCAACAAAAAAAGCTCCTGATGCTAATAAGTGATTATAGCAAGTTTGCAACACACAAGGTTAATATACAAAAGTCAACCACTTTCCTATATACCAGCAATGAACAAATGAAATTTGAAATTAAAAACACATTACCATTTACATTAGCATCTTCCAAATTTAAATAATTCAGGATAAATAAAAAAATACATATAAGAGCTACATGAAGGAAACTACAAAATTCTGATAAAAGATATCACAAAAGAATTAAATGAATAGAGAGATATTCCGTGCTCATGTATATCAAGACTCAGTATTGTCAAGATGTCAGTTCTTTCCAACTTGACCTGTAGATTCAACACAATCTCAGTCAAAACCTCTGCATATAATTTTGAGGATATTGACAAATTGATTTCTCAAGGTTACATGGAGAGGTAAAAGACTCAGAATAACTAACTCAATGTTGAAGAAGAACAAAGTTGGAGGACTGACATTACCTGACTTCAAGATTTACTATAAAGCTACATTAATCAAGAGAGTGTGTTATTGGTGAAATAAAAAGACAAAGAGATGATATGATTAAAATAGAATCTCAACAGACACTTCACCCAATTTGAAATACAGATGTCAAGTAAGCATATGAAAAGATAATCAACATTATATCTCATTAGGGAATTGTGAATTTAAGCAAGAATGAGATACCACTGAACACTTATGAGAATGGCAAAAATTCAAAACACTGACAACATCAACTTTGGAAGATAGTTTGGCAGGTTTTTGCATTTTTTTAAAAAACCAAACACCGCATATTCTCACTCATAGGTGGGAATTGAACAATGAGAACACATGGACACAGGAAGTGGAACATCACACTCTGGGGACTGTTGTGGGGTGGGGGGAGTGGGGAGGGATAGCATTGGGAGATATACCTAATGCTAGATGACGAGTTAGTGGGTGCAGCGCACCAGCAAGTCACATGTATACATATGTAACTAACCTGCACATTGTGCACATGTACCCTAAAACTTAAAGTATAATAATAAAAAAATATTTATAAATAAATAAAACATTTGAGGATATAATAGGTAAAAACAAACAAACAAAAAAACTAAACCTACTCTTACCATCGGATCCAGCAATCATGCTCCTATGTTTACATGAAAATCTGCAAATGGATGTTTATAACAGCTTAAGTAGTAATCGCCAAAACTTGGAAACAACCAAGTTATTCTTCAGTAGTTGATTGACTAAATAATCTGTGGTGCATTCAGACAATGGAATATTATGCAGCACTAAAAAGAAATGAGCTATCAAGTCATGAAAAGACATGGAGGAAACCTAAATACATATTAATAAGTAAAAGAAGCCAATCTGAAAATGCTACACACGGTATGATTCCAAATAAATGGCAATCTGGAAAGGCAAAACTGTGGAGGAAGTAAAAGGATTAGTGGTTGCAATGAGTTGGGGAGAAAGGTGAGATGAATAGGCAGAACACACATCATCATTAGGACATAGTATAGTGAAACTATTTTATATAATACTACAGTGGTGGATACATGTCATTATATGTTTGTCAAAACCCATAGAATGCACAACACTGAGTGAACCCTAATGTAAATTATAGACTTTGGGTGACAGTGATATGTTGATGTAGGTTCATCAATTATAACAAATATACCAATCTGGCAGGGGATGTTGATAGTGAGGGAGGTTGTGTGTGTGGGGATGGGGGTAAGGGAACTCTGTACTTGCCACCCAATTTTGCTGTAAGGCTAAAACTGCTCAAATAAAGTTTATTGACTAAAAAAGCTCAGTAACCAAGATAAATAATATTTTAATGCAATATTTTAAAAATAATTATTAAAAATTATGAAAAAATAATTATGAAAAAAGTTCATGATGAACAAAATATCAACATTTTATGTAAAGACAAGATCAGTGTCAACATCAATGCTATGCTGAGCAATATTGAAGCAAAAGAAAGAACAAAAAAGATAATAATCATGTTGTCTTTTAAAATATTTTGATACTTAGTTTATTATGATTTTTTGCATTACTGTGGATTATTAAAAATATTGCATTAACATATCATCTATCTTGATTAGTGAAATTTTTGGTGACCCTTACATTTTGCATGTATTCATTCTGCTTAATTCTTAATTCAATCATCTCAAAACTGTGGATGGTAACGATATCTATCTCATAGAATGGTCGTGGGGCTCTAAGGAGCTAATGTATGCTAGGTTCTTATCTACTTGGCATCTGACAAATGATGAATACATTTCAACATGAATATTAATGCTGCCACTACTTACTAGTTGTATTATTTTTTAATCCTATGGCAAAATTGTTTGCTCTTGCGGAGGAAGGATGCAAAGCAAGTGGCTTATGATTAATTTCTTTTCCAGTTACCAAGGGGATACTACCAAAGAAAGAAATTAGGTGGCATGATTTGATTTTCAGCAAATGTGCTGAAAACCAGTGACAACTGCTGTGACTAGAGAGTTCTTACCTATAGAGAGCTCTTCGCAGGATGTCCCTGGCTTAGGGTTGTTTATGGCAAAAAAAAAAAAAAAACCCTAGAATCTATGAATTTATAATGCATCTGTCTCTGAAAAATATCTAATTGGCTGTACAATTTTCTAGAGTATAAGGTAGAGATGTTTTATAACCAAATTTGTCATGGCTCTGTGAGGTGACCACACTGATAACAGAGAGCTTTTCTTCAGCGGAAGACTCTCCTGGAGAGTCAATCAGGAAGTCCAAAGCCTCTCTCTTTTTTGTCCATGCGTCTCAACTGTATTACGGAAATTGTTTGTAAAGGCTGGATCTTGGTTAAGATGTCTTATTTGACAAACAGATTTTCTGGTTTACTTCTCACTCAAGTTACATGTTGGTTATGATTCAATGACAGCTTTGTTCTGGATCCCACAATTTTCCTTCATTGTATGATCTGGGTTAAAGTTCCATCCCCCATCTATGACATACAGTTTATATGGCAGAGGGAAGGAGAAATGGCTCTTAAAGCCTCCAGTTGGATATTACTTGCATTCATATTTCATGGGCCAAATAAAATCCCACAGGAGGACTTATCTCTGTAAGTCACATGGGAATGGGCACAGATATATAGTTTCTCCTACAGAGAGGAAAGTGAACAGTTGGTAATAATAGTGCCATATACCACAAAAGACAGAGAAATAAACTTAATATATGAGACATTAATGATACTGATATAAAGTTGACTATTAAAGGATAATTAAAATGATGGAAAAAATGAAATTTAGGATTTTTGGTGTACCTTTTATCCAGCTTTGAAAGATTTAATGTATTTATGTTTAGTTAAGTACAATAATTGAAGAGAAACACTGGTGATTTGGTATATTAAAATGTTTTGAAATCTTATTTTTAAGCTATTTTCCTTTTCACTATTGAAACAACTTTTTTTTCTGGGTGTAAAACTCATACCTATTCATTAAAAATTAGATAATATAAGTAATACAATGTAAATTCATTTCCTATCCTTCTATGTATGTATATGAATGTACATTACAAAAATAGGTAATATTATAGATAACTTTTTTAATCTTATAACTATATTTAGGAACATCTTTTTACATTAATAAGTTCTCTTATCATCAGTTTTAATAATTGTATAGCATGGTAATGTTTTACCATTCTATTGTTGAACATTTATGTTATCCAATATTTATTCATTTGTTAAATCCTCAATAAACACATATTTGGATGCACTGAGTTAATTACAGAAGAATTGCTAGATGAAAGCAAATGCACCTTACTTCAGGTTTTGATTGACATCCCTAACCTGACTTCCATAGGGTTATGATTGTGTATGTTCATTCAAGAGTATGAGGGCTTAATTTACCACACACTTACTAATATGTACTCTAAAAGTATTTTGCCAATTAGATAAAATTGGTATTTTATTGTTATTTTCATTTGCATTTTTGAGAACTAATGAGAATGAAATTATTCTCAAATGTTATTGGCAATTTATATTTGTGCAATACGTTTTTGGTCTTGTGTTCATTTTTTAAATCATATTTATATTTCTACTATGGATATGTAAACTATTATTAAACATTAAAAATATTAGCTGTTAAATTATTATGTGTCGGGCCAGGCGTGGTGGTTCACACCTGTAATCCCAGCACTTTGGGAGGCAGAGGCAGGCAGATCACGAAGTCAGGAGTTCAAGATCAGCCTGGCCAATATGGTGAAACCCCGCCTCTACTAAAAAAATACAAAACTTAGCCATGTGTGGTGGCGGGAGCCTGTAGTCCTAGCTACTCAGGAGGCTGAGGCAGGAGAATCTCTGGAACCCAGGAGGCAAAGGTTGCAGTGAGCCAAGATCGCGCCACTGCACTCCATCCTGGGTGACAAAGTGATACTCCATCTCAAAAAAAAAAAAATTATGTGTTGCAATTAATTTTGTCAGCTGCCCTGTTTTAAAGTTTTGATTTATGGTAGCTTCAAATTTCATATTTAGCCAAATTAACTAATCTTTTAAAAATGCCTTATGTTTGAAATGCACCTTATAGTTTATAAATAACTCTTACAGTGATCTTAAATAATTCATACAAGTTGGATTGAATTATGGTTTTTAAAATGCTATGTGGCCTATCAAGGCTATATAGACATAATTTTTAATTTTTTAAATTTTTTGTTTAATTTTAATTTTTTTAAATTTAGAAGTTGAAATTTTAAAATAGATTTAGGCGATACAAGTGCAGTTGACTTACATGAATATATTGCATAGTGGTAAAGTCTGGACTTTTAGTGTACCCATTACCTGAAGAGTGTACATTGTACCCAATAGGTAGTATTTCTTCCATCAGCACCTCTTCCACCCTTCTGCCTTTTGGCATCTCCAATGTCTATTATTCCATCTGTATGTCTATGTGTACCCATTATTTAGCTCCCTCTTGCAAGTGAGAACATGTGGTACTTGGCTTTCTGTTTCTGAGTTATTTCACTTAGGATAATGGCCTCCAGTTGCAACCATGTTGCTGCAAAAGACATAATTTCATTCTTTTTTATGGCTGAGTAGTATTCCATAATATGTATGGAATATCATATATATATACGTGTGTGCGTACACAATCACATTTTTACACACATTTTCTTTATCCAGTATGTATGGAATACTATATATATATATATATATATATATACACACACACACATGCACTTTCTATAAAGTGTGTATATACATATAAAGTATATATATAAGTGTGTGTATATATATATATACACATACATTATATAAAATCACATTTTCTTTATCCAATCATGCATGGATGGACACTTAGGTTGATTCCATATCTTTGCTATTTTGAATACTGCAGCAATGAACACACAACTGCAGGTGTCTCTTTGATATACTTATTTATTTTATTTTGGGGATATACCCAGTAGTGGGATTGCTGTATCAAACAGTAGATGTATTTTTACTTCTTTGAAACATCTCCATACTGTTTTCTGTAGAGGTTCTACTCATTTACATTCCCACCCACAGTACACAAGTGTTCCCTTTTCTTGGCATCCTCACCAACATCCGTTATTTTTTTACTTTTTCATGATAGCCATTCTGACTGATGTAAGATGACATCTCATCTTGGTTTTAATTTGCATTGCTCTGATGATTAGTGATGTCAAGCATTTTGTCATGTGTTTCTTGGCCACTCATACGTCTTCTTTTGAAAAAATACACACAATTTTTGGTGAGAAGATTTGAACTGGAGCCCAGGGCTAGACTGAGCTTCCTCCAGTCTGGTTGACTTGTTCCTCTAGGGTGCTTGGTCACCAGTTGAATGACTTAACTCTGACTCTTTCCCCCCCTTGCTTAATGTTTTATTTCCATGTCTTTATTTCTCTTTAGCCTTAAAATAAAGGAAATACTAGCTTCTCAACCTATTTTATAGGGCATTATGGTCATCAAAAAAGTAATGTATTGAAAAATACAAAATACTCTCACAGATATATTATTATTTATTCCTTTTTTGAAAATAAGAACTAATTTCTCAATTCTAAGAATAAATTACTTAATTTTTTTAAAATGTCTTGGGGAAGAAAATATTTTAAAATGCTAATTAGAATTGCATATAGACACTTTCACCTAAAATCTAATATAGAAACAATAAATATAATATTTGATAGATAAAATATATATATTTAAAAATCATAAGTAAAAGTTGTTGAGCATAACAAATTTAATTCTTTACCTTTTACAAAACCCCAAAGAATTGAGATTATTCTTTCTAGGCATAAATTCTAACCATACTAATGTGGAAATTTACAGGGTAAAGGTCATTTAGGTTTTAAGAGTTTGGGTTTATTGTTCGTTTTCTCCTTATAAGGTAAAATTCATTTGGGTTTTAAGAGTTTGGATGTATTGTTAGTTTTTGTCTTCAGTATGTTAAAGAAATGGGTATTTTTTGAAATGTGCCTTTGTATATGAAGATTATAATTAAAGATTTCTAATGTAGATATATTCATACACAGGTATATCTATGTGTGAGTATTTGTTGTATGCAATTATAATAAATACATTGTGGCAAGATCATTTTTCATTTTATTTTATCGATATTTTACAGGTTTCTGCTCATTCTATTTGAGTTAGAAACCATGAAAAATATATTTTAATATATCTAAATGTTAGTAGAATGACAAAATGCAAAGACAGAAGCATTTGCATGTAGTTATGTTTTTGTCAACTCTTTAATGAAAAGAGATTGGTCAGCACCATTGTCTCTTGGGGAGAATATATTTTTAAAATAACATGAAGTGTCAATTAGCTTAATTGTAACCATTTCATGATGTATGTGTATATCAAATCATTATATTGTACATCTTAAATACAAATATATATTTATGTGTAATAAAACAGGCACCTCTTTTTAAAAATGATTTTTTTAAACATTTCATGGTCCCACTTACAATCAGAATGGAAAATGCTGAAAGCATAGTGGAAAATATTTGAGGGATACTTTATAGTCGGAACTGTGAAGAAAACCCCAGGATTTCATTGTGGGAAACCAGCTCTGCTTTGCAGATTTAAGCAGCTAAAATAATTGTGACAACTCTGTAGTAAGCATCCCTGTGTTTCAGAGTTTGTTGGAAATGAGCCTCCTCCTCCCAGCTTGGGTCTGCTGGAGGAACTCCTTCCTCTGGTTTGCAGAGCCATAGCCCATGGGGCTGGATACCATTAGCTGTACCCAGGGTAAGAAGTTGGAATACTTGAGGGAACCTCATCAGATTTCTTTCAGTGTACACTCAGTCTCACACAAGCCTTTTTAGATAACTGCATGTGAAAATTCAGACCCTTGGAGTAAGGCACTTGTTCTTTCTTGCTCAGCTGTTCGCCCACAGCACCACCGAACTGCACAGACAGATTTGCCTGCCCTTTGGACTGGGATAATTGATCCAAGTTAATAATGCTCATGGCCCAAGCTTCTAATATTTCACAATAGTGAATTTTTTTCTCTTTAGTGATCTTTTGGTATACCAGTCCACAATTCCAGCAGATACAAAAATGTAACTAGAAGAAAATAAACAGCAGGATTTGAAAAAGGATATCAGGTCCTCTCAGTGAGAGAAAAAATACACATAAGAAAAAACTGAGAAGAGAAATGAGGACATCAGTTAAAAAAACTATTTGAGGCCTGTAGAGGAAAACACAAGCTAGTTGATTATTTTAAAAAATCTGAGTAAATAATGTTAGTCAAAAGGGTTAATAGGAGGTGGATAAATCTTTACAAATATAAAAGGAAGAATATGTACTATGAAGGAATGCTAGCACCACTTAGCAATTTCAGAGTGCTTTCATCTTCAAAGAAACTTGCATGTTAACTAATTAATCCTTCCAACACCCTTGTGACGTAGACATGACAAACAAGGACAGAAGCCAGCCTGAAATGACTAACCTACCAAACTCACTGGTTGAGGAAGAATTATGAAAGCATGACAATTTCTAGTGAGAAGGATCCTGTCTATTAATGATAGGGATTTTATAGTTGTAATTTGGTTTACTTAGGTGCTTTCTGTTTATTAAAACCAAGCAGCAGCAGGATATTATATGTGTGTGCACGTGTGTGTGTGTGTGTGTACTTCTAAAACTTGTTTAGAGAAATACAAAGCCAATAGTAAGATATTAAGTAAATAACTGATCCATCTTGAGCTCAGTTAATTCTATACTAATGTGAAATTCTCAAGTAACGCAAACATAAACCATCAGTATTAGCAGCAGTTAGGTAGTTGTTTCATATGACAATAATTGATGCATGTAGATGAGAAGTACCAACTATAAATTTCAATGGGGTAAAGGAAATAACACTTATTGGAAGCTTATTGTCTGTCCAATCCTATGACATGAAGTTTATATATTCTTTCTTAGTCATTTGAACACCAAGACAAGTATTCAAGGCCAGGTGAAATGAGAGGTCTGAAAATTTTTTAAGTTCTTAATTGCCAAGCTTTTATTTTGGAAACTTATCACTGAGGTTCTAGCTGACTACAAATGCCATCAGGATTGTAATAAACTTCTTCTACCTCTTCCAACATTCTGACCTCATTCTCAGTGGTAGGAGAGAACCTCATTCCTATTTGTCTTCCATAATGACTAGTGATAAAACTTGAGTTAATTGGAAGTAGCTTAAAGAGAGCCAAGGTGCCTAGAGACTCTGGCTTTATAACTGGAAATATTTATAGGTAACTGTACTCCCCAAAAGGATCTATATAATAATCATTTCTGGTAAAAAAGGAGAGAAAGAAATAATTCCCCCTGTGTAAGCTCTTGTAAAATACCTCTAAAATCTTTATGTTATCTCTGCCCTTGCGAGTATAGAAATAGCCCATTTTAATTCATTTAAAAATAATTTAATATTAATTAATGGAGTTTTGGTCTCTTTTAAAGGTACTAATTTTCTTCAAGAAAGGTGATTTTAAAATATCTATTTTATACAATATATCTTTTACAAAAACCTGGGTAATGCTATCTATTAATAGAAACATCTATCAATATACGTTAATAAAATTATTATAAAATAAAAGTAGGTGGTTAATACTTATAAAATTACAGATTAGCTAATTTTCTTAGTTTTCATCAGCTAGAAAATAAATTCTATAGTTTTAACATTTAATTAAATATAGAAAATTACGTTTTAGTCATCTTATTTGTTTCATCTACAAATGTTCCCCATCCTACCTCCAATATATATGCCTTTTTCTTACAATTTGGTTTTAGTTTTAAATCTTAGTAATTGATGCCTGTAGCTAGTTTTTTAAAGACCCCAATCTGTTTCCCTTTCTCTGCCTGTCTGTGTGGTACTGTGACACTTGTCTACTATTCCCCTACTGTGAAACCAACATATCTTTCCCCAGACTCGCAGAAAAAATAGCATGAGCTCCTGACCACTCTGGGATGATAACGGCAGTGCTGTGCTGTTGGCATGCTGAGGTGATGGTAGCAGGGAGTCACCTTACTCACTTGGGGTAGCAGCCATTCCATCTCAGCTTAACAGGGAGAACAGCAGTGAGTCTCACTGATTAGAAACCTGCTAACATATGCATCACCCTTGGTTTCCTTTCCTTTAGGATAATCCTCATTGTGGATATATTTAGCCTTATTGTGTTGCCTTAAAATTGCTACTAAGACCTTTGATATGGTATTGAGCTACAAATGATAAATGACTAAATATTTCCAAAAAGAAACTTGGCTGCCTTTTCTGCACCACTGCTACAAGATTTTCCTTCCAACATATTAAGAGCACAGAGTGCAATTGGATTGAGCTCTCACCCTTAACCTTTTCTGCATTGGCTCCACAATATTATGAGTTTGCGTCTTTTCCTTTCCTCTCTCTTTTCTCCCGGTCTTTCCTTCCCCAAAAATAAGCATGGATTTTCATCTCAGTCCATAATCTCCTTAACATTGTGTCTAGGTAACTAAGGTCATGTCTATTATTACCCCCAAATTTTAAATACAGTGCAAACTTGAAGACAATATTCATTCAGTCATTCAATTGAACAGTTTGTTGAGTGCCTACTATATGCCAGTCACAGTTTCAGGCATTAATGTAACAACAGGGAATAAGAAAAACGTCCTGCCCTGATGGAGTTAAGAGTCACTGGAGAGGCCAACACTGGAGTACTCTTAATGAACAGCTGTCCATTTCTATTGGCTCACAAAATCCAATCCATCTACTAGATTCCAATCACTCAGATACTTTCTGTTGTTTTTAATTTCTTCCTGCATTTTTGTGTTGCTACCTGAGATCATTTTCCTTCTGCCATGTCAAATCCATCATACAGCATGGTGACCATAGTTCGTGACGATATATTGTATTCTTGAAAAATGCCGAGAAAGTGGATGTTAAGTGTTGTTGCCAAAAAATGATAACTACGTGAGGCAATGCATTTGTTAATTAGCTAAATTTAACCATGCCACAATGTATATGTACTTCAAAACATCATGTTGTATACAATAAATACATGCAATTTTATATGTCGATTTTAAAAATAAATAAATTTGGAAAAAAAGAATTTCTTTTTTGTGTATTCTTGTCTGCTGGCAACAAATTGTCTCAGTTTTTGTATGGATGGTAATACCTATTTCTCTTTCACTTTTGAGGAATATTTTCTCTAGGTATAGAATTATAGGTTGGCTGTTTTTTTCTTTCAGCACTTTAAAGATGTCACCCCTTGTCTTCTTGATTTCATCATTTCTATTAAGACATCAGCTGTAAATCTTCATTGCTTCTTTAGATAATGTTTTTCTTTAGACTTTTTTAATATTTTCTTTTGTCCCTAGTTTCAGAAGAATTTCTATAATTCGACTAGAGGTGTGGGCATGTGTGTGTGTGTGCACATACGTATGTGTGTTTTATCCTCCTGATGATCTGCAGTTTTTCTAAGATTTGCATCTTGATTTGATTTTTTGGCCATATTTTGAAAACCACTATCTTGTCCAATATTTTCTCTGCCTTGTTCTCTCTCCATTCTTCTGAGACTTGAATTATATATAAGTTGCAATTTTTCTCCATGTCTCATATACACATATTGTATATCTCATACACATATGTATATGTATACTTCTATAATCTGTACATATATCCATGCATATTTTTCCTGTATTACTTTATCCCTTTATTTTGGTTTCTATGCTTCAGCCTGTATTTTTCTCCTGAATAGCTCTCTAATTCTTTTGTTGTATCAATCTGCTGTTAAACTTGTCTATCAAGTCTAAATTTCAGTGTGTCACATTTTCAACTCTAGAACTTTTATTTCATTCTTTTTAATAGATACCAATTCTCTAGTAAAATGTTCTATTATGTCATCTACTTCTGGAAAAATATTAAATACAGCTGTTTTAAAGCCCATCTCTAATCACTTCAATAACTTGGTTAAATCGAGGGTTTGTTTCTACTGCTTTTCCTTGGTCACAGTTCATGGCATGCCTAGTAAATTTTTATTGAATGACAGACATTTTGCAGACTCTGGATGATATATTTTTTTCAAGAGCATTTACCCTGGCCTGTATTAGAAACAGTGTTGCATCAGATGATATGAATCTGATCAGGGAGTGCAACTCAATGCTGGTTGCAATTACTGTATGGCTGTCTACCTCTGGTTGTCCCATACTCCTAGGGTGTAGACTTCTAGGATTCCCACTGAGATCCTGAAGTATTTGCTAGAATCCCTCTTCACTGATATTCCCAGGCTCTAATTTCCATATCTTTAGCATGGTCTGTTTAGTCAGTAGAGAATAAAAATACACTAAGCTTTAAAAAAAAAATGCTTTTACCCTTGGGAGTGTCATGATCAGGACTATATATGGAGGAGATTTAGGGAGCTCAAATAGGAGGTTATAGTAATAGTCTGGATATGAGTTAATGAAGGCTGCTGATACAGGAAGTTGGAAACAGGAATGTACATGAAGAGACAGATAGGGAACCTCTTATGGAAGAAGAGAGGGTGAGTAAACTAGTTGACTATGTGAAGGTTGATGTGTCAAAGTTTTTGAGCCTAGGGAGCTGAGATATGTTCCGTGGACAACTGGAAAAATGAGATTTTAACTTAGAAGATATTTTAGAGATGGAAATACACATTTGGGAGTAATACATAGGAGAAGATGTAAGAGTTTGAGGTGGATGAGAGCATTGCTTGAGAACACATAGAACAAGAACAGAGAAGTATAGAAGGACAGGATCATAGGAATCATATGCATTTTGGGGTGAATCTGATGACAGACAACTCCTTTTTTCACTTAACCAATGTGTGCCCCCTAATATAGAAGGCACAATTCCAGCAAAGGAAAATACCTTGAATTTAAATATAGACAGTATTTAGTATCACAAGGGAGCGGAGATGAAATAAAACATGAAATAATTTCTTGATTTCTACACCAGGCAAACCAAAAATTCTATCAGCGCTGTGTATAGGGACAATCAGTTCTCTAGTACTAATGAAAGATTTGGTTAACTCTATTCTTTTTAGAACTCTTTAGCATTTTGAGGACTGAAATTACAAAACAACTTGTTGAAAAGTGTATATGGCATTCTTAAATCCAGGAGAGGCATGAGTAGAGCAATGGGAATGTGTCAGTGTTGAAAGTAAATATACTTTGTGTCAAAATGCACTGTGGGGCCAGTGGTATGTGATAAGATACGGAAGCTTGCTTTGGAACTCTCCTTGCAAGTACTGGGACTGGGGTTTTAATAATATAAAAATTCTTGGGGCTTTCTGACAAGGAATGCTTGAAAGCATACATCACTGCAGCAGGCTTATCAGTCCACTTCTAGGACAAACCCAGAAAGAATTTTCCTGTATTAGTCTTCAGGCATTACATTTGCCTCAGCTGTCAGTTACATTTGCTGAAATAAACCAACCTTAGTGATCTTTGCAACATGTAGTAGTTTTAACAGCACATTGGAATTGAAAGGAACCCATGATTTGAATAAAAAATAGTAAATTTGGCTGGGTGTTTCTGTCATTTTTCAGAGTTCTATAACTGACACTGATAGGAAATATTTTTAGAAAAAACAAAATCAAACAGTGGAGTACTATGTCCTTGAAATATACACTTTGTGACTCTCTATGCACTGTGAAAGTAAACATGTATGTTTCTATATAGTTTTAATCCCTTGATAAGAGCGTAGATTTGTGGATGTTTAACTTAACAGCTGTGCCAATAAAACCCAGCCTGATACAGTCTTTATATGCCTGCTATATTTGAAGATATTGTTTAGAAATTTTTTACAGACCTTCTTCTCTTCACTATTCTTCACACCTCCATTTAGCTCCCTTCAGTGGCTGTGTATGTTCTTTTGAATTACAGACATGGAAGGAGAAAAAAAAAAGCTACTACATTTTCTGCTAACTGAAATGACATTCAGCAATGCAAGCAATAGTCACCTTTTTGTTTTTGTTTTTGTGATCACAGATTGGCAGGTTGGTACCAACCCATCTAGAGCAGTGATTCTCACCTTGGCAGCACTTTGGTGTTGCCAGGAAGCTTTAAAAAGGAGAGAGGCCTGGGTCCTATTCAGGGGTTCTAGCTTCATTAGTTTGAGCTGAATCCGGGACATAGGGATTCTTAAAAACTCCCTGGATAGTTATAAAATACAACCTAGAAGAAACCTTAAGAAACTCAATTCCCCAAAGTAACTCTTAGAATTAACTACATAGAAAACCCTGCCTGGATTTTCATCTCATAAATAATACTTAATCTTAATGGTTCTAGACATAGAGCCTGGCCATACTTATTCAAATATGAATTCAGTGTGAGTTTGAGAGTGGGAGTGTGAAAAACATGGGCCTATTTTATATGTGTTACTGGTGAGCTTGCCAGATTCAGCAAATAAAAATAGAGAATGCGCAGTTTGATTTGAATTTCAGATAAACATTGAATAATTTTTTCGTATAAGTATGTCATGTGCAATGCTTAGGACATGCTTGTACTAAAAAAATATTTATTGTGTATCTGAAATTCAAATTTAGCTGGCATCATGCATTTATTTGGCAGCTCCAATTACAGGACATGCAGGAAATTTTTACCAGTTCCACTTTAATCAAAGCATTTTACTTGACTTGTAACCAATCACCTATGAAACCATTTCGTATAGTTCTAATCACAGTGAAGTCACACAGAACAAGCAATCTAGCCCTTGTGGCTGAGACATTTAACCCAATTCACTAAACCTCCCGGCCTACTTTTTCACTTAAAAATTCACTTTGTCTAAGATATTTATAGAAGAGATCCATTCTAATTTCCTTTACCTCTTGAGTATACAGTTCGTAATTCCTCCAGCAGAGATTTATCAGCTTTCTAATACAGTTCTGGGGGAAATCCCCAGTGCCGAAGGGGTTCACTTCTCCAACATAAGTTGTCTCAACTATCTTAATCTGTAGACCAATTTGCTCTACAGCCCCCTACGGAAGGAACTTGTGGATTTTGGCAGTGTTTACCTTTCCTACAAACAAATTCGACATTTTCCAGACCGGCTGGCTCTTAAAAATCACTTGAGGGCTGGGGAAAAGCTGCCTCTAGGCTGCTGCAGAATGCTCCCCACTCTGTTCTAGGAAAATCTTTGTGCCCCTCACAGCTGCTCGTGGATAATCTATGGAGTCATGATTATTTAGAATCTGTGGAGAGGCTGTGCAGTTCCTGGAGTTAAGTTATTTTCAATAAGGAGAGCGGGAGAATCTGTCAAATAAAAAGATAAAATGTTCTGGCCTTATTTAATAGTAGTACAGACTTTTCCACAGGGAAAGGAGAAAAGAACAAATTTATATTTTGTTTTCTCATAGAGGCAAAATGTTTTTAGAAATGTCATTTTACACACACAACAACAACATTTAGTATATCACGTGCTTGCACACTGCTAGCTTTCTCTTAGTGTGGTTAGTCATCTTTGTTTGGGAAGCCTGAATTGGTATCATTATCCTTTTTCATTTGTTAAGATCATCCACTACTCTTTAGTTCCCCAGCCACCCCTCCCTGTCCCTGAGATAAAAACCCATTTAGCATCCTGGGGCAGCCGTCGTAAACTTCTCACACGAAAGAAACTTTCTTTGCAGGCACTAAGTAGAAGCTGACATCACTGTTAATCAAGGCGTTCCAATTTATGTTTTACAGAAAGAAGGTGCAATGCATGTGCTTGTTAGGGTTTCCTCACATCTGCCCTTTCATTTCTAAAGATTCTGAGATTTAATTGAATATTCTCCTCGTTCTGTCAGCTGTGAGACTGGAATTTTGTTTATCAAGATTAGCTTGATCTGGAAAGTATAATTTACATTTATACATTTATTTCCCCATGATATATTTTAATGCTATGTCTGGTGAATTAAAAGCTTTGTATTTAGTTAATTAAAGTGTTGTTTTCCTTTAGGTAGCAACTTTGTTATCTTCATTGCTTTAAACCTGAAGAGTTAAGATCTTAGCCTCTCAGCCCTTCCTTCTCCTCCTTGCCACACCCCCGTCCCAGCCAGTGTAGACCATGGTACTCACGGATCTCTTCCGGGTCCACTTCTGATGAATTTGGGGGAATGTCACTTTTCCAGCCAGTGTAGTCCATGGTACTCACAGATCTCTTCCTGGGAGCTTCCGCTTCCGATAAATTTGGGGGAATGTAACTTTGCTCCAATTGGTTTCTTGTCTCTTCTGTTTTCTCTTCCTACATTAAGGGTTTTTTTTTTGTTGTTGTTGTTTGTTTTTATTTCTGTTTGTTTGTTTGTTTGTGTGTTGGTTTTTAAATTTAAAGCCCTCTATCAAATGTCTGTTACCATTTAGCCTAAGTTTGGGGTGTGCTGAGATTCCCTCCTCTTTTTGATTCCCACCCTTTCTCTGCAACTCTGCTTGGGAATAACTGTATCCTTCCTCTTCCAAGTCTCTGCTTTGTTATATTATTCCTTTCCTTCTTCGTTCCCTCCTGTTTGCTCAGAAGAGCTGCTAACAATGAAATTTACTGTTCTGATTCTTCTGCTTATTTTTGCCACACAGGCCAGGTCCTGGCACCACTTTGCTCTGTCACCTCGACTAGATTGATTATGGGGTGGGAGTGGGGCTTTGACCGATTCGTAATTCACTACTAGAGGCTTTCCAAACTGTTGGAAGCAAACCTCTAACACTTTGATTTAATGCTTCAGAATGAACTTGAATCTTGGCCAAACTCACCAATTATTTGGCTCAAACGCATAAACCTGAGTTGCATTTAGCCTTATGCTCCTCCGTCCCATGAGCCCTGGAGTAGAATTCTCTTTGCGGGTGAAAGCCAGAGTTCATTTGCAGTGGGGAGTCAGGGTAGCTCCTTTTTATGGTTTGTGGTAAAGGCCAAGGGTGGGCGTGTGAGAAAGGGATGCTGGAGATCCTTCTCTTCCCTTCGTCTTACACAGAACCCCTCATTCTATTTCTCATCTTAAACAAAGCCTATCTGCACTTAAAGTTTTAGATTTGGGTTTTAAAATGATTGCCATTGAAGTTATGCAAACGTTTTAGTTTGTTCCATGGTTTTGATCATTTTTACAAACATAGTACAAGATATACCTTTAAGTTTTGTGTTTATTGGATAATACAGTTGGCCTTCTGTATTCCTGGGGTCTGCATCTATGGAATGAACCAAACTATGATAAAAAATGTTCAGAAAAGGAATTGCATGTGTACTAAACATATACAGACTTTTTGTCTTTATTGTCATTATTCTCTAAACAATGTAGTATAACAACTATTTACATACCATTTACATTGTATTAGGTAGTATAAGTAATCTAGAGATGATCGAAAGTATACAGGAGGATGTGTGTAGGTTGCATGCAAATACTACATCATTTTATATCCAGGACTTGAGCATTTGCAGATTTTCATATCTCCCGACGTCGTGGAAGCAATCCCTCACAGATACATAGGGACAAATGTATATGCTTTGATATCACACAGCTTACAATGAAAGTAACACTTCCATTACCACTCAGGTAATTGACTCTCTTGAAAACTGAACTGTGTCCTCCTCTTACAGGTACATAGAAACTTAGAGTTTAGAATCCATCCTCAGGTACTATAGCACCCCTAACATCAAATATCGTTGTAGTGTTTTTTATGACAACATTTTTTGCCCGTGGAAAATGTGCCATGATGACTATAACCATCAAAGGGGCTGTCCCAGAAGGCACATGTCAGGTCTGCATAAACTGAGAGAGTCCAACTTCTCGCTGGTTCATGTCTGAGGCCACGGCAACTACTTTCTGCCAAATAAGTCAGCCGGGACATTCTGGCAGCTTGGAAGGGATTTTTATGTGGATGGATATTAGCAGCTTCCCAGACACAATTAAATCAGGCCAGAAACCATATTAGACACTTTTGCCAAATTTTTATTAAATCAAAGTAAACTAGGTCACTGCTTATTCCTTAACATTATTTTGGTAAAACTTAACCTAAGTCAAAGATTAGAAGAAAAACTTTGTCTCCCTCTCCCCACTGGCACTGCCTTTGTTCTAACAAAATAACATTGATTTTGGATTCACCAGGATCACAAGTTGCTTCTTAATCCAACTGAAAATAATCCTGAACTGATTTTGCAATTTGTTTCCAGAATAGGTTTTACAAAAGCCATGAATTTCCACAGAGAGATTCAGCTTCTCTATATAAATGCTTTGGCTCATGTGTAGAAATTGGCATCTTTTTTTTTTTTTTTTTGGCAACAAGTCACCTAAACAACCTGGCCCAATGTGGAAACAAGTCAAATAAGAAAAACAAGCTAAAATGTTGCTTTCACTGTGAAAAACACATATTTCTAATTCCAATAGAAAGAGACCTTTATATATGATATGCACTGTGCACAAAATATTGAAACTCTACAAAAGCTACTACTGAGACATTGTGGCTTCAAGAATTTTGATTTATTTGTTGCACAATGCAAGAGTGTGAAAATGATTATGGAGCATCATTTGTAAATGTTGGCTATGTTAATCTTGGGTGTAAAGTCGGTGTTGCCGCGAAAGAAAGCCAGGCCTGGCACGAAGCAGTTTATTCTACCCACAGGTTACAGCAGGGCCATCACTGCATCCCATGCAGGGCCGCAGGACACCAGATTTTGGTCAGTGTCAGAAGACAGGAGCAAGGGCAAAGCATAGCCTGGACTCTTTACTGGGATTTCCATGGAAAAGGCAAGGCCGGGCAAGGTAAAGGGATTAGAATTGACTAGTTTAAATAGTACTGGGGTTTTGGCTAGAGGGGTGTCTCTAGTTGCCTTGTACCAGGCTCTGGGAGGATTCAGGGCAGGGAATACATTATTGGCTTTGTGTATGAGAGTTAGATAACGGGTTGGTGGAGTCTAAAAAACTCAGGACTGGCTGGTTTGTATGTGACAGACATGCTCCCAGCCCGGGCTTTTGCTTTAAGAAAGGGTTAGCCCTGGGAGAGGCAATCTCTCTCCTGCCAGGAAGGCTTTTAATATGTCAAGGTTTCACAAAATACAGAAAACAAAACACATGATTAATGCAGCATCTCTAGTAACTTTCACAGTATTTTCAGGGCTACAAATGCTGGAAGACTTCGTCTTTATATTTCCCAATCCCAAGCCATATGGAACAAGGGCATGAAATTCTGACTATGCAAAAGCAAGAAAAGGTCATCTTTTAAAACATTTTTTCATAAGGTAGGAGCGTCTAAGATCCTAAGGACACATGAGGGTGAGGAATCAAGTCCATGAAGACACTGCTGCACTGTTGTATCCACTGATCAACTTAAAATATTACCAGTAATTTTAAAGCCTCCTTGTGTTCCCATCCTTAAAAAGATCCTTATCTGTACTCCCAGAGAAAACTGACTTCTTTATTTATCTTTCCTTGATTTTTAAAAAATATGTTACCTAGTATGATTGAATCCTTAAATAATGTGTTATTTAGCTTTGCATAGTTTTGAACTTTATAGAAAATGAAGCATAAAATACGTGTTCTTTGCCCATGTGCTTTTTTCCCCTCTCCATTCTGTCTTGAGACTCACTCATGTTGATGAACCTGGATGTCAATTCATTTTCAATGGGCTGTGATATTTCATTATAAAAATACATCGAACTTGATTATATGAAAATTTTTGTCCATTTCCTTGTGTACATGTTTATGAGGAAAAACTTTCAGAATGTAATCCCTAGATTAAAAGTTAGATACATCTCAAGCTTTGTTTGATAATGCCAAAATACATTCCGAATTACTTTTCATGGGCTCAGTAGTACTTGGTATTATCAGACTTCCTGATTTTTGACAATTTGGTTCTGAGGAAAACAGTGTCCCATTGTGGTTTTACTGTGCTTTTTTTTTTTTTTATTACTTGTGAGTTTTTGCCAACCATGTTTCCTTTTCTGTTACATACCTACTTATGCCATTTGTTACTCTTGTAATTTATAGGAATTCTTTATACTTATGGTCACTAATTATTTGTCAGTAACAGGCACTGCAATTATCTTCCTTCAATTCATGACTTTCCTTTTCTACTTTATTAATGTCATCTTTGATCAATAGATTTTAATGTGGTCAAATATATTAAAGTTTTTCCTTATGATTTGTGCTTTTTCCTTTGTATTTAAGAAATGTTTGTCCATCATGAAATAATAAAGAAGTACATTTTCTTCTTTAATAATTTGACTTTCATATTAAACTTTCATCCATCCAGAACAAATTTTTGTATGTTGGGTGATTTTTGTGGATTTTGTTTTCATTTAAATGGGCACATGCCCCAGTACTGTTTATTCAATAATTCATTTCTTCCCCACTGACTTATAGTGCCAGAGATGTCCCATGTCACATTTTCTTGTATGCATGGATTTGTTTTTGACATCCCTAATCTGTTCAACTGGTCATTTATCTACCTGTAGACTGATGTTATATGAATTACTGTAGCTTAATAGTAATTCTTGATATCTATTATGAATGGTAATGCCAACTTTTCCTTCTCCTTCTCCCTACCCTTTTTTTTTTTTTTTTTTGAGATGGAGTCTCGCACTTGTTTTCCAGGCTGGAGTGCAATGGCATGATCTCGGCTCACGGCAACCTCCACCTCCTGGGTTCAAGCAATTGTCCTGCGTCAACCTCCTGAGTAGCTGGGATTACAGGCATGCACCACTATGTCCAGCTAATTTTGTTGTATTTTTAGTAGAGACAGGGTTTCACCATGTTGGCCAGGCTGGTCTCAAACTCCTGAACTCTGGTGATCTGCCCCCCTCAGCCTCCCAAAGTGCTGGGATTACAGGCATAAGCCACCACACATGGCCTCCCTTTTTCTTACTCTTCTTTTTCTTCTTATGGTTTCTCCACTTACTTGTCCTTCTCCTCCTCTCTCCTCCTCCTCCTCTTCCTACTCATCCTCTTCTTTTTCTTGGTTGCCTTGGCTCTTGTTTTTTTCTTTTCATATGCATTCTAGAATCAGTACATATATGTTAATTAAATTAAATTTTTATTTCAATAGATTTTTGGGGAACGGGTGGTGTTTGGTTACATGATTAAGTTCTTTATTGGTGATTTCTGAGCAGTGTACACTGTACCCAATGTGTAGTCTTTTTTTTTTTTTTTTTTTTTTTTTGAGACGGAGTCTCGCTCTGTCGCCCAGGCTGGAGTGCAGTGGCGGGATCTCGGCTCACTGCAAGCTCCGCCTCCCGGGTTCACGCCATTCTCCTGCCTCAGCCTCCCAAGTAGCTGGGACTACAGGCGCCCGCCACTACGCCCGGCTAATTTTTTGTATTTTTAGTAGAGACGGGGTTTCACCGTTTTAGCCGGGATGGTCTCGATCTCCTGACCTCGTGATCCGCCCGCCTCGGCCTCCCAAAGTGCTGGGATTACAGGCGTGAGCCACCGCGCCCGGCCCCAATGTGTAGTCTTTTATCCCTCACTCATCCTTACCCCTGAGTCCTCAAAGTCCATTGTGTCATTCTTATGCATTTGGGTCCTTATAGCTTAGCTCCCACTTATGAGTGAGAACACATGCTGTTTGGCTTTCTATTCCTGAGTTACTTCACTTAGAATAATGGTCTCCAATTCCATCTTGATGCATTATTTTGTTCCTTTTATGGCTGAGTAGTATTCCTTTTTCTTTATCAACTTGGTGATTGATGGGCATTTGGGCTGGTTCTATATTTTTGCAATGGTGAATTGTGCTGCTATAAACATGCCTGTGCAAGTATCCTCTTTGTATAATGACTTCCTTTCCTCTGGGTAGATACCCAGGAGTGGAATTGCTGGATCAAATGGTAGACCCAATTTTATAGTAGTTCTTTAAGGAATTTCCACACTGTTTTTCATAGGATTGTTCTAGTTTACATTCCCACCAACAGTGCAAAAGTGTTTCCTTTCACCACATCCATGCAACATCTATTTTTTTGTTTTATTTTTTGATTATGGCCATTCTTGCAAGAGTAAGGTGGCATTGCATTGTGGTTTTGATTTGCATTTCCCTGATCATTAGTGATATTTAGCATTTTTTCATATGTTTGTTGGCCATTTGTATATCCTCTTTTGAAAATTGTCTATTCATGTCCTTAGCCCACTTTTTGATGGAATTGCTTGTTTTTTTTGTTTTGTTTTGAGTTTTTTGTTGTTGTTTTGTTTTTTGGTTCTTTTTTGTTTTGTTTTGTTTTATTTTGTTTTTTTGCTAATTTATTTGAGTTCTCTGTAGATTCTGGCTATTAGTCTTTTGTGAAAAGTATAGATTGTGAAGATTTTCTCCTATTCTGTTGGTTGTCTATTTGCTCTGCTGATTATATATTTTGCTGTGCAGAGGCTTTTTAGTTTAATTAAGTCCCATCTATTTATCTTTGTTTATGTTGCATTTTCTTCTGGGTTCTTGGTCATCTGAAGTCTGCTTATGTCAATGTCTAGAAGGGTTTTTTCAATGTTATCTTCTAAAATGTTTATGGGTTCAGGCCTTAGATTTAAGTCTTTGATCCATCTTGAATTGATTTTTGTATAAGGTGAGAGATGAGGATCCAGTTTTATTCTTCTACATGTGGCTTGCCAATTATCCCAGCAACATTTGTTGAATAGGGTGTCCTTCCCTCCTTTATGCCTCTGTTTGCTTTGTCGAAGATCAGTTGACTATAAGTATTTGGCTTAATTTCTGGGTTCTCTATTCTTTTCCATTGGTCTATATGCCTATTTTTATACCAGTACCAACCTATTTTGGTGACTATGGCTTTATAGTATAGTTTGAAGTCAGGTAATGTGATGCCTCCAGATTTGATCTTTTTGCTTAGTCTTACTTTGGCTATGCAGGCTTTTTTTTTGGCTCCATATGAATTCTATGATTGTTTTTTCTAGATCTGTGAAGAATGATGTTGGTATTTTAATGGGAATTGCATTGAATTTATAGATTGTTTTTGGAAGTATGGTCATTTTCACAATATTGAGTCCACCCATCCATGAGCATGGGATGTGTTTCCATTTGTTTGTGTCATCTGTGATTCATTTCAGCAGTGTTTTCTAGTTTTCCTTGTAGAGGTCTTTCACCTCTTTGGTTAGGTATATTCCTAAGTATTTTATTTTACTTTTTTGCAGCTATTGTAAAAGGGCTTGAATTCTTGATATGATTCTCAGCTTGGATGCTGTTGGTGTGTAGCAGAACTACCGATTTCTGTACTTAATTTTGTATCCTGAATCTTTGCTGAATTCATTTACCAGTTCTAGGAACTTTTTAGATAAGTCTTTAAGGTTTTCTAGGTATACAATCAATCATGTCATCAGCAAACAGTGACAGTTTGACTTCCTCTTTATTGATAATGAAAGAAATGAAAATTAAGAAGACAATATCAACTTGACTTTTCAATAGCAAAATAAAGCAGACTGGCCATATCAAGTGTTGGATGGAGTGTGTATCCAGGATTTTCTTTTACTTTGATGGTAGAAATATAAACTGGTACAACTGCGTTGGAAAACAATATACAGCTGACATTTGCATTCTTTAAAATCTAGCAATTCTACTCCAAGTTCAATTCAAGGAAAAGCTTAGTACATGTGTCCCCCAAAACATGTACACAATAGCACTGATCATAAAGGAACAAAATGGAAATAATACAAAAACATATAGACAGAAAATATATAAATTATGGTATCTTTTCACAATAGAGTATGTTTAGCTACATGCAACAACATGGATAAACATTAGTATCATTTTGCTGAATCAATAAAGTAAGTCTCAAAAGACAACATACAGTTTGATATTCTTGTTTGATATTCTTGTTTTGAAACTCACAACCTGGTAAAACTAAACAATATTTTTTAGGCATCAAATGTATGCAGTAACTCACCTACATAAAGAACAAGGAGGAAATAGATATAAAATTCAGGTATTGGTTATTTTTGGAGAAATGGCAGGGATGTGGGATTGGGAGAAGTGCTTAGGAAAAAGTATTTTTGGTAGAATATTCTAGCTCTTGGATTAGATAGTGCTTTGGGGGTTGTTGATTATAGAATTAAGAATAAGTACATTAGAAAACCAACTATATAATAAGTACATTAGAAACAAACTATATAATAAGTACATTAGAAAACCCACAAACTATATAAAGAAAGTTCCTACATCTAAGAGGATGATGATGTGTTGTGAATGAAGGATTATGACCAATCCAATTCATGAGGTCTAGTAAATAAATAAGTAAACAATAAATGATAAGCATTTATATTAGAAATGGCTTTGAATAAAGGAAAAGGTAGTGTCCACAAAACCCACTGGAAGCTCTGAATTGAGGAGCTCTCAGTTCTTCTTCATGGGTAGGACTGCCTAGAAGTGATAAGCAGTCAATAGTGATTGCTCTAACTACACCACTAAACAAGAGAGTTTGACTCATCTCTTTAATCAAACATTACATTCAGAATAGTATGTAGTGATTCTGCAACTGGGAAAATGGGACTAGTTAAACAATTAATCATCATTAATCATCATTTTAGTGTTAATCATTTTACCTAACTTTTCTTCAATTTAAAGAAATCTTAAGATTTCTTTAAATCCAATGACCAATAACTAAACATATAAACTTTTAAACAAAACAGCACACCCTTTCATGATTGTCTAATAAAATTTGAGATTGACAGATGATGCCCATATAAGATATTACCACACACACAGCCACACCCACACACACACATACACATCGGATAAAGTAGCAAAATTTTTAAGATCACATGAAACCAATACCACTCATATAAAGAGGGCAAGAAAAACAATTAAAACCTTAATGTTGGATGGAGCTGTGGCCCATATTTTTAAAGTTGATGTTAGTTTAGCCATGAAGGTGTAAAATACAGAAAGAAAGTGGGTGAAAAAGACATAATCAGATTACAGATATGTTTATATCTATAAAGCATGGCGTGAGCTAAGATTGAATTGTATAAAATACATATTAGAAATTATTTCAGTAAAGGCCATCGACTTGAAGTCATTCTGTGATGGCAGCTTATCAGAAAAAAATCATGGGTCCCTAATGAGATGTTCCCTTAACATTGACTAAATGACATTAAATACACTTTGATTTATTATTTGAAACAAGTAGTATAGGATTTTATTACAGGATTCTAATGTGTATGAAGGATCACATGACTTATGAAAAGTATTTCTTTATTTTATTTTATTTTATTTATTTTATTTTATTTTATTTTTTATTTTGAGACAGAGTCTCACTCTGTTGCCCAGGCTGGAGTGCAGTGGCGCGATGTCAGCTTACTGCAACCTCTGCCTCCCAGGTTCAAGTAATTCTCATGCTTCAGACCTGAGTAGCAGAGATTACAGGCATGTGCCCCCACGCCTGGCTTTTGTATTTTTAGTATAGACAGGTTTTTGACATGTTGGCCAGGCTGGTCTCGAATTCCTGACCTCAAGTGATCCACCTGCTTTGGCCTCTCAAAGTGCTGGGATTACAGGCATGAGCCACCGCACCAGGCCAGGAGATATTATTTCTTTATCACCTTGTCCTCTGCTCTGTCCCCATTCCATGAGAAATATTCCCATGTTTAGTCTGACTCAGGGCTGGGCTGTGTTTCTCCTACCACAGGTCTTTACATCAGTATGGAGTCCTGCTGCGTTCTCAGACATTTCCTCTGAGGCACTGTAACAGGAATGAAGGGAAAAAGATACTAAGGTCATACAAATTCACATGTCATTGAAGGTACTTGATTGTTTAAAACACAGGAAGTTTGCATCCCACTGAAAAGTGTTATTCATTGAAATAACATTTTACATTATGTATCTTCAGAAAGAACAAAATAAATCAAAACTAAATTTTTTTGTTGGATAACAGATGAACAGTGGTTGATTTCATCAAATGTAATTTTTCAAAGACAATGCATTTCAATGCAAGTTGTACTTGCACTTTCAGAAAATCATACCTTTATACACAGAGCTAATTCTGAGTAACAAGTCAGTAATCCAGATTGATTCTGTTCCATCTTGGTGTCACGCGTTTTGAGAACCCTAATTCGCATAATAGGTAATATGAATTGCCTATTATGCAAATTAGGATTCTCAAAACGCGTGCACCAAGGATCAGCGAACGTTTTCTGTGAGTTTCTAAGCTAAGTCAGAATAAAGACTGAGGAGGGATCCCCAAAAAGCTGGCAGGCAAAGGGCAGGTTGGAATGCAGGGTTACAAACTGGTGACCTTAGGACAAAATTCAGCTGCTCACAACCTTCCAAGAAAGGTAAAGGCCTTTAGACGGTGTTCATTCTTATGTCCTCAGGCTCACTAATTTACGTCTCTCTGAGGGCATTTGAGTTTCGCGCCTCTTGGTGTTTTAAGGCCACTGCTGAAGAAATTCATTAGCCGTGTCTCTTAGGTCACTTGTATTATACAGCCAACTGCAGGGGCCTTTACTACAAGAGTCTCTAATACATTCATCAGATTTTACTACTATGTCTTGCAGATAGCTCATTCACAGTCTTTTTGTTCATGAAATATGCTGTTTCATTTTTTAAGTTTTATCACAAACACTTTAACATGCATCAAATTAAAAGTCACCAATGATTCATAATCTCTGAGGTCAAATTTCTTCATCCAATTTTTCATCCCTACAGCAATCTAGCCATGGACAGTTAGAGCATATCTTGATTCAAGGCATTCAGCCTTAAGAATATATCTGGCAAACGGCCTAGGCGAGGTGGCTCACGCCTGTAATCCCAACACTTTGGGAGGCCGAAGTGGGCAGATCACGAGGTCAGGAGATCGAGACCATCCTGGCTAACATGGTGAAACCCCGTCTCTACTAAAAATACAAAAAATTAGCTGGGCTTGGTGGCGGGCACCTGTAGTCCCAGCTACTTAGGAGGCTGAGGTGGGAGAATGGTGTGAACCCGGGAGGCGGAGCTTGCAGTGAGCAGAGATGGCACCACTGCACTCCAGCCTGGGTGACAGAGCGAGACTCCATCAAAAAAAAAATACATATATTTGTGTGTGTATATATATATATGTGCATGTGTATATATATATGTGTGTATATGTATGTGTGTATACATATATGTTTGCATGTGTTTGTGTGTGTGTATATATATATATATATCTGGTAAACAAGCCAGCTCTGGGTCAACAAACACATTTTCCAAGATTTCATTTTTTTTTAATTTTCTTATCTTTCTTACACTCCACAAAGACAAATAACGAATAAATCTCAGTTCAAATATTCTGTTCAACACCTCCTCCTGACTCTACTGGAAAATATGTAGTAGGGAAAGCTTCCAAAGTACATTTCCATTTTAATTCAAATTTTCTAACAAACACATATTCAAACTAGTATTTTTATTGTGGTAAAGTTTTACCACCTCAAAGAACAAACTGAGAAATATCATGAACAAAACCATTTGAGAGAAGTGTTCTTGGTGAGTGATTGCAGTAGTCACTGGCCGCAGCAGAGTTTCCTATGGCCTTAATGTAAGCAATAACTCACGGAGTTTTAACCACTGGTAGATTTTTCCCTATCTCTGCAGACATCTGTACGTTCTAGTGAATCGTACTAGATTGAAAAAAAAAAAACTCACATAGGTGTGTATCTTGCTAAAAAAAAACTGTAAACATTTTCAATTAACATATCTTCATAGATAAAATCATTGTAAATGTAGTAAACAAATAAAAAATACATTAATTTACTTAAGAGCTAAAATCTCTCAACCAATTCAATTGTACTCTTGGACATTTGAAACTGCATTATTTGGCAATGTTGTGTGAGGCAAGTAATTTTTTTCTTTAGTTTTGCTTTTATTTTGGCCAAAAGGAGAAGTTTTTTTGCTATCTAAAGGATAGAACTTTACCTATTTTTCTCTTATTTCATGTCATCTTTCAAGATGATTCTGAAAATGGTCATCAAACAGACCTTTAGCATTTTACAGTGCTTAGTTTGATGTGTTCTTCTTCGTCTTCACCCTAGCTAAGACCTCTCTCTTTTTTAACTGTAAATAATCTGTCGATTTCCCCTTTGAATGTCTATGATTTGTTTTAAACTTGCTGCAAGAATGACAATTTCATAGAATTATTGCCCAGGTAATTTATTTTTCCTTTTTTGCATTATAAATGTCAAAATGTCTACTCATTCTAATCTTCAAAATAATATGATTCATGTTTTCGATGAATTTAGAGTGTATCTTATGTCTTGCTGTTTCAGTGGTTGTGGTGTCCAAGGCAATGGATCATTTTCCTGCTGTAAGTGCACTGTGGGAGAATCAGCACCCAGGCCATCTATCTCTCATTTTTTAAAAATTTAGTTTCAGGGAGTATATCTACAAGTTTGTTAAGGGTATATTGTGTAGGGCTGGTGTTTGGGCTTCTATTGAACCCATCACCCAAATAGTAAAGACAATACCTAATAGGTAGTTTTTCAACCCTTTTCTCTCTCTCTTCTCCCTTTTTGGAGTCCCCAATGTCTACCGTTTCCATGTTTATATCCACATGTTCCCATTGCTTGGCTCCCATTTATAAGTGAGAACATGTGGTATTTGATTTTCTGGTTTTGCATTAATTAAGGCCATAAGATAATGGCCTCCAGCTCCAACCATGTTGCTGTGAAGGATGTGGTTTTATTCTTTTTATGGCTGCATAGTATTCCATGTGCACCATGTATCTCACTTGGGCTGATTCAGGCACCTGTGCCTTTTCTTGGTATCAATACTGTACTTTAAACTTGCAGTGTTTATCTGCCAAACCTGTTATCATTCGAAAATATGTTTTAAAAAATTGTTTCACCTTAAAGATACCAAGTGGAGAATAACATGAAAATCATAGGCCTTAAAAGTTTTAGTATGTATGAGTTACCAAGGATCATCCTGTGGTAAGAAACAAAGCTTAATATATAGTCAGTATGGCCAGGTGCGGTGGCTCACGCCCATAATCTCAGCACTTTGGGAGGCCAAGACGGGTGGATCACGAGGTCAGGAGATCTCGACCATCCTGGCTAACATGGTGAAACCCCATTTCTACTAAAAATACAAAAAAATTAGCTGGGCATGGTGGCGGGCACCTGTAGTCCCAGCTACTCGGGAGGTTGAGGCGGGAGAAAGTCGTGAACCCAGGAGGCAGAGCTTTCAGTGAGCCAAGATCGTACCACTGCACTCCAGCCTGGGCAACAGAGCGAGACTCCATCTCTCTCTCTCTCTCTCTCTCTCTATATATATATATATAGACTATATATATATAGACTATATATATATAGACTATATATATATAGTCTACATATATATAGACTATATATATAGACTATATATATAGACTATATATATATAGTCTATATATATTTTGTTAATTAATTATAAGATTAACCTGGTTTGTGGCATCTAATGTCGTTTTCTAAAACTAAAAAGGGATTACAATTAAAAGACATATTTAATTACCAATTTGTGATCCTCCACTCACTTTCCAAGAAATCAGAATGCTAATATTTCTACTTGAGTATCAGCTGTATAAACCAGTCACCAGCTTTTCAAATCCCCCATTATATATAACCTTTTTGTTTCCCCAGTGTTTACAAGAAAACAAACATTTATATTGTCTGGAGCTAAGACGTGGGAATTTTGCAGAAATACATTTGACAGACTATTTTAAAATTTCATACACTTAAAAAGCTGTCTCCCCATAGTTACCATAAAATGTTGGAAAGTGGTACCATATTAACCCTATGTTCGGCATGCGCTCTAACCTATGGGTAGATACTTTTAGAGAATGTGTTCCCCACATTGTGAGAATGAACATTAGGGGAGAATGCAATCTTTAGAACTAAAGTAAGAAAAGTTTCAATCCTGGGTATGACACTTTCTTGTTATGTGATGTAGGCAGCATACTTTAGCTCTCTCAACCTAATGTTCTTATTTTTGCTTAAAGGACTAGATGGACCATCATATATAAAGCACAAAGCAATTTTCCTGAAATATAGGAGATGTTCAATAAATGTAAGCAATGTATTACTGTGAAATTTCTGTATTCTGCAAGAATCCTCTTTATAATACTCTGCTTATGACTCAATACATTTCTTACTATTTATTCTTAGTATGAGCATATTGTTTGAAATTGGTCGGTCTTTGAAAAATTAAATTCACTGCCTACTTTCTAGCATAACCCATTAAATGCTAGATAGGTGTAACCATTTGGAAACTGGATTTGAGCTGGTGGTGTTATCCATTCTAATCCTCTTGGCTTTCTTTTTCTGGTATTCCAGTAGTTTCTAAGTTACGCTCATCCATTCAAGCAGCATTTACCCATTTGTGAGAAATAATTGTTCTCTTGCAAGAAATACGTTTTGCGCTTGTGAAATTCCCAGTAAGAACTGCTGTCAGCTTGAGTGGACAAAGTAAAACCTACCTGAAATGGCGATTGTTTGATGTGACTGGGGCATCTTCCCTTCTAAGTGTCACGTCAGGCAAACGATGCTATAGCTACTCTGGGTTTTTGTTGTATCCTGTCTCAAAATAGACATAAAATAATATCTCTAATCCTTGTGCACTTTGGGTTACAGTCCCACATGTCAAAATAAAAGCCAGCCGGGAATTGCTGGAAGTCTCACGAAACGTCCTCTCCCCGCGGTGATGCACCCTCCCTCTAGACTGACCAGTCCACACCTGTGGTGATGCATTCTGAGAGACAGCCAGTGAAAGTAGCTCTTTGCCAGTCATGTAAGCCCAGTCTGGACATGTATGGATCCTTAATGAGCTGTCAAGAGTCACAAGAGCATTTCAGAAAAAAAAAAATTTGAATTTCAAGTGTTTCGTGAACTTTACTACTACAGTAATACACTGAAATTTTTGTGATTTTCACTGGTGAGTGGGGGGAAAAGGTTTTTTTTCTTGTTTTCTTTGTTATCTACATAATGAAAGGGGGCATCGTGGAGATGATTCCAAAGAATGGGTAATGTTGTTGTCATTTACAACTTTGGAATGCCGTTTGTGGTTTTTCTTTGGGCAGTCAATTTTTTTTTTTAAGTGAGATTTTCTTTCACTTGTTTCCCTTTTCTGAGCTGCCAACAACCCCTGGTACCATAGGAGCAAAGCAATCTGCTTAAGAAAGTTTGAAGTCTAATCTTCATGTAAATCACCAAATAATAATGCTAATGGCAATGGTGCTGATGTTCCCAGCTAAGGTTTATTGATCACTCACTATGTACCTGGTGGTTTTATAAGTTCCTTCATTTTCTTGTCTATAGAATGATGAGAACCATAGTATCTATGTCAAGGATTTGCTGTGAAAATTTAGTACAGACAGAGTATTTGAAATGACGCTGGACACATAAAAACACATTAGCTATTATTACCATGTGTAAGCTCATTTAATCTTTATAACAATTCTCTAAGGTTGGTGCTATCATTGACATCATTTTACAGATGAGGAAACTGAAGGGCAGATGAAATAACTTGCCCAAGATCACACTAATAAGTGGCAGAGCCAGGAATAGAACTCCGGTAGTCTGAGTCCTGATCAAACCTGCTCAGATTGTTGGAGTTTCTCTATTTTACTATTTTTCTTTATTCTTTACTCTATTTTTCTTTTTATTTTACTAGCTTCATAATTCCAAGAGGCTTTTAATGGCTTAGAATTATTTATATTTGCATATGATTAAAGCTCGTAGGATCTATGATTAATTGACTGTGTGTGTTTGCTCAAGTTACTATACATCCCTGTATTTTAATCCTTAGCTGCAAAAGAAAGGAGATGAACTAAATGATCTCTAAGGATCTTCCCAATACTATGAGCATCCCATAAGCCTATAAGCTTTATACTCTCAAGCAATTCACCTGGTTTCACTTGACTGCCAGACAAAAGGAAATTGGTTTAAATTGTACCAGAAGGGTTTTGTGTTTTTTTTTTAATATTTTCCTGGAAATAAGGAAGTAAAAGACTGAAAAGAGAAGCTTTTAAATCTCCTTACCTAAAACTCTAAGAAAAGGGTCAGCACTACTACTTAGAATTGTCGGTGGGCTCTTATTGCTTAGAGGCTGAGCACAAAGTAGGTTATAGATTTCTTGCAGCTAAACTGCTCAATTTTTCAATGATGTTAACTCCACAGTAACTGTTAGGATTTACAGTCCTAGTCAAATAATTAGCCTGAGCACCAAGCTGTGAGCTTCGTTTCGGGAAAAGGAGGCAGACACAGGTAGCATTCACAATCCCTCCCGCGTGAGAAAAGGCAAGTATGTGAATTAAAGGTGCTCTCTGGGCTGTGGGAAGGAAGGACATCAGTGGCTCTGCTCTGGCCCAAGGCTGAATTGTGAAATGGACTGGGTTTGCTTCAAGACCCTCTAGCCATATCACATGGTACTGGGCTATTCCTGCAGGAACTCCTGTGGTCCCGAGCAGGACCTGCCCTGCCCACCCCCTGCAGCATCTAGTGCTGCTCTTTCTGTCTTTCTTTCCCTCCCAAATCCATTCCCTCAGGTCCCACACTTTGGTAGGAAAAGACCCATGATGGCTCAATGTGTAATGCCTTGTAGATAACGTTAGTGCTTTCATAGTCGCCGTCAAAACACAAGTCAAAAGTTTGACATTAGGGGAGAATTTTAGACAAAGATGATCTTCCTGGGCAGAAGGTTTCCTTATTACATGAGAGAGGAGATGGCTTCTCACCCTACTTATGGGCAAGGGCAGCCTTGCTTGGAATGGGGAGAATTAGAACTGCAAAGGGAAAATCCATTTTAAAAATTCAGGAATATGAGCAACATATTTGATGAAAATTTTAGATATATTTAGTTGTTAAAATGTTTTCATTAAATGATTAAGAAACTATATTCAGGATGTGTTCCAAGGTTCTTACAAGTTATTTAAATTAATCACAGTAGTGGCAGTGATAAAATAAGAATAATAGTAAGACAAAAATGAGTTAATGTAATGAAGAATAATAAAGTTTTATTTGTAGTGATAGAAATCTGGAGAAAATTTCTTACATTGAGTATGCTCATTAATATCCTAATTACTGAGATACATATTTTTATTTAAAATAAAAAACAATTTAAGCAAATATTCATATCTTTTTTTTTTGAAAAATAAACCCACCCACATGTATGATTTCTCCTGATTATTTCAGTTGGTTCTTAAGTAATCATGGAAAGATGGTATCATAAGTCTGCATTATTTGAAAGTGAAATTTTCCCTTTTACTGAAAAATTCTTTGTTTAAGCTCAGGGCAGCTTGCAATTAATTTTCAAGAACTTATTCTGTTAGAACTTCTGTAGTATATTTTAAGTAATATCATAAGAAAAGTCTTTTTTTGACATATAAATATAATTTTCTTCCCCAATTTTATGGTGTCTGTACCCATTATGTGAAGACATGTGGCTTTTCTTGACTACTATTTCTTAGACATTATATTACACATTACACTGTTTAATCTTCACAAAGACATTGCAAGTTAAACATTATCGTATTTACTTTTCAGATAAAGACATTGTAGCTCATGAAATAAAGTGAGTTGCCAATGATGGCACAGATTTTAATTGATGAGAAGGGATTGAAGGCAAGACATGCATGACTTCAGTGCCCATGTCATTTTGGTTTGCAAGAAAAAAGTCCTAAAGAATGTCTCTTACTCCTGTGCTACTTAATTTCTGAGGCTAGTAGGACCATGTCTTTTCCTTAGGTGTGAAAGTAAGGATCCAACAACATCCAATGAACTAAATATTTTCTTTTTTGGTTATATAATAACAGAGGACAAAATTACTTATATCTATTTTCCAGGAATATTTTATAATGACCATGAAAAGGTTTACAAGTGACCTTAGATATGTCATTTAGCTGAATGATGCTAAGACTCATTAGCAGCAGAGAAGTCTGGGTGAACTATACTTTACTAACCAAGATATATGGTATATTGCCAAACTTGCTTTTCAGCTTTTGCTTTTTGTTGCTATTAATATCGGATCTTATCATCATCATCATCTCTCAGGAGAGTCAAACATTTATTGAGTTCCTAGTATTCTATAGGCATTCTAAGACCCCTTAGCTTCTGACATGAATATCTGAATAATCTAAACATTCTGGATCCACTTAATGCTGAAACAAATTCTCAGGGCAAATGTGATCCTTGAAGATAACTTAGGATTGTTCCAGCCTTCCAGAAGTTCTCCAACTCCCATTCCCAAATACCAACTTGTCTCCCATAAGCTGAGCCAGAACCAAGTGGTTTCTGAATATTAAACCAGAGTTTGATTGGCTATTTGTATTTCTAAATACGTTTTGATGAAAATTGCGTTACATTTATTTGTGTCTTCATTTAAAAGCTTCCAAAATACCATCAATACATATTACAAATTGTTTTAGGTTATGTTGAATTGACAAATCTGGGTAATTTGTATAGCATTGAAAATATCCTATTCTTAAAGGTCAAATAAACATAATTATACAAATCTACAGGCTTTATGGCATTATATGCAGTTATTTTGATGATACCATATTTATTTATAATTATTTCATGTAAGTCAATATTCTGGCTTACTGTTTCCAAAATGACTTATTTTGGTTGTTTTAAGAGTATACTGGATAATGAAACCTAACGCTTTCTGTTGTCTTTTTAAAAAAATATTTTTATTTATTTAGTTTTTTAATTGCTTTGTTGTTTTTAATTTTGGGGGGTTCCTAGTAGGTGTATATATTTATGGAGTACATGAGATGTTTTGATAAAGCCATGCAATGTAGGATAAGCACATCAGGGAGAATAGAGTATCTGTCTCCTCAAGCATTTATCCTTTGAGTTACAAACAATCCAATTACACTCTTTTTAAGTTATTTAAAAATATACAGTCAAGTTATTATTGACTATAGTCACACTCTTATGCTATCAAATAGTAAGTTTTATTCATTTTTTCTAACTACTTTTGTACCTATTAATCATCCCCACCTCTCCTCCAAGCCCCCACAACCCTTCCCAGCCTCTGGCAACAATCCTTCTACTTTCTATGTCAATGAGTTCCATTATTTTGATTTTCGGATCCCACAAATAAATGAGAACATGCAATATTTGTCTTTCTGTTCCTTGCTTATTTCACTTAACATAATGATCTCCAGTTCCATCCATGTTTTTGCAAATGACTGGTTCTCATTCCTTTTTATGGTTGAATACTATTCCATTGTGTATACGTACCACATTTTTTGTATCCATTCATCTGTTGATGGACACTTAGGTTGCTTCCAAATCTTAGCTATTGTAAACAGTGTTGTAACAAACGTAAACAGTGTTGTAACAAACATAAAATTGCGACTTTCTCTTCGATATACTAATTTCCTTTCTTTTGGGAATACACCCAGCAGTGGGATTGCTGGGTCATGTGGTAGCTCAATTTTTAGTTTTTTTTTTTGAGGAAACTCCAAACTCTTCTCACTAGTGGTTGTACTAGTTTACATTCCCACCAGCAGTGTACAGAGCTTTCCTTTTCTCCACATCCTCATCAGCATTTGTTATTGCCTGTCTTTTGGATATGACCCATTTTAACTTGTGTGAGATGATATCTCATTGTAATTTTGATTTACATTTTTCTGATGATCAGTGATGTTGAGCACCTTTTCGTATGCCTGTTTGCCATTTATATGTCTTCTGAGAAATGTCTGTTCAAATCTTTTGCCCATTTTTTGGACTAGATTATTATATTTTTTCCTATACTGTCGTTTGGCCTCCTTATATATTCTGATTATTAATCCCTTGTCAGATGGGCAGTTTGCAAGTATTTTCTCCTGTTCTGTGGGTTGTCTCTTCACTTTGCTGATTGTCTTCTTTGCTGTGCAGAAACTTTTTAACTTCATGTGATCCCATTTATCCATTTTCGCTTTGGTTGCCTTTGTTTGTGGAGTATTGCTCAAGACATTTTTGCCCTAACCAATGTCCTGGAGATTTTCCCAATGTTTTCTTGTAGTAGTTTCATAGTTTGAAGTCTTAGATGTAAGTCTTTAATCCATTTTAATTTTATTTTTGTATATAACAAGACATAGTTCTATTTCATTTTTCTGCATATGAATACCCAGTTTTCCAGCACCATTTATTGAAGAGACTGTCTTTTCCTCAGTATATTTTCTTGACACTTTTATCAAAAGAGAGTTCACTGTAGTTGTGTGGATTTGTCTCTGAGTTCTCTATTTTTCTATTGGTCTATGTATCTGTTTTTATGCCAGTATCATGCTGTTTAGGTTAGTATAGCTCTGTAGTATAATTTGAAATTAGTTAATGTGATTCCCCATTTTTATTCTTTTTTGCTTAGGATAGCTTTGGCTATAATTATTTTTTCTATTTATAGGAAAAATGTCATTGGTATTTTGATAAGGACTGCATTGAATCTGTAGATTGCTTTGGGTAGAATGGACATTTTAACAATATTTATTCTTCCAATCAATGAACATGGAATTTCTTTATATTTTTGTGTTTCCTCTTCATTTTCCTTCATCAGTGTTTTATAGTTTTCATTATAGAGATCTTTCACATTTTGGTTAATTCTTAAGCATTTAATTTTATTTGTGGCTATTGTAAATGAGATTACTTTTTTGATTTTTTTCACATTGTTCACTGTTGGCATATAGAAATGCTACGATTTTTATGTTGATTTTGTATCCTGCAACTTTACTGATTTATCAGTTCTAACAGTTTTTTTTTTTTGGTGTAGTCTTTAGGTTTTTCCAAATATAAGATCATATCATCTGCAGACAGGGATAATTTGACTTTTTCCTTTCCAATTTGGATGCCCTTTATGTCTTTCTCTTGTCTGATTACTCTATCTAGGACTTCCAGTACTATGTTGAATAACAGTGGTGACAATGGGCATCCTTGTCATGTTCCCGGTTTTACAGGAAAGGCTTTCAGTTTTTCTCTGTTCAGTATGATACTAGCTGTGGGTCTGTCATATATGGTTTTTATTATGTTGAGGTATGTTCCTTCTATACCCGGTTTTTTTAGGGTTTTTATCATGAAGAGATGTTGGATTTATCAAATCCTTTTTCATCATCAATAAAAATGATCATATGATTTTTGTCCTCCATTATGTTAACATGATGTATCACATTGATTGATTTGTGTATGTTGAACCAACCTTGCATCCCAGAGATAAATCCCACTTGGCCATGATGAATGATCTTCTTAATGTATTGTTGAATTTGATTTGCTAATATTTTGTTGTGAATTTTTCATCAATATCCATCAGAGATATTGGACTGTAGTTTTCTTTTTTTGATGTGTCTTTGTCTAGTTTTGGTATCAGCATAACACTGGCCTCATAGAATGTGTTTGGAAGTATTCCCTCCTCCTGTATTTTTCAGAATAGGGCTGGTATTCATTCTTTAAATGTTTGGTAGAATTCAGCAGTAAAGCCATTATGTCCTGAGCTTTTCTTTACTGGGAGACTTTTTATTACAGCTTCCATCTCATTACTTGTTGTTGGTCAGTTTAGGTTTTGGATTTCACTCTAGTTCAATCTTGGTAGGTTGTATCTGTCTAGGAATTCATCTATTCTAGATTTTCCAATTTATTGGCATATAGTTGCTCATAGTAGCCACTAATGATCCTTTGAATTTCTGCAGTATCAGTTGTAATGTCTCCTTTTTCATTTCTGATTTTATTTATTTATAGCTTCTCTCTCTTTTTTTCCTTAGTTACTCTGGCTAAAAGTTTGTCAATTTTGTTTGACTTTTCAAAAAAACAACTTTTTGTTTCATTGATCTTTTGTATTTTTTTATTGCAATTTCATTTCTTCTGCAATCTTTATTATTTCTTTTCTTCTACTAATTTTGGGTTTGGTTTACTCTTGCTTTTCTAGTTCTTAAATATGTCATGCCACTCTCTCCTGGTCCATAAGGTTTCCATTGAAAATCTGCTGCCAGACATATTGGAGCTTCATTGTTTGTTTATTTTTTCTTGCTGCTTTTAGGATCCTCTCTCTATCCTTGACCTTTGGGGGTTTGATTATTAAGTTCTTTGAAGTAGTCTTCTTTGAATTAAATCTGTTTGATATTCTGTAACCTTCTTGTACTTGGATATTGATATCTTTCTCTAGATTTGGGAAGTTCTCTTTATTATTCCTTTGAATAAACTTTCTACTCATATCTTTTTATCTACTTCTTCTTTTAGGCCAATAACTCTTAGATTTGCCCTTTTGAGGCTATTTTCTAGATCCTGTAGGCATGCTTCATTTTTTTTTCTTTAGTTTCCTCTGACTGTGTATTTTCAAATAGGCTGTCTTCAAGCTCACTAGTTTTTTCTTCTTCTTGATCAATTCTTCTATTGAAGGACTCTGATGCATTCTTCAATATGCCAATTACATTCTTCAGTTCCAGAATTTCTGCTTGATTCTTTTGAAATTATTTTAATCTCATCGTTAAATGTGTCTGATGGAATTCCAAATTCCTTCTCTGTGTTATCTTGAATTTATTTGAGTTCCCTCAACTCATCTATTTTGAATTCTCTGTCTGAAAGATCACATATCTCTGTTTCTCCAGAATTGGTCCCTGGTGGCTCATTTACTTCATTTGGTGAGGTCATGTTTTCCTGGACGGTGTTGATGTTAGTTGATGTTCTTTGGTGCATGAGCGTTGAATAATTAGGTGTTTATTGTAGTTTTCACTGTCTGGGCTTATTTGTATCTGTCCCTCTTTAGAAGACTTTCCATATATTTGAAAGGACTTGGGTGTTGTGATCTAAGTTGTGTTTGCTTTAGGACATACCCCACACCTAGTAATGCTATGGTTCTTGCAGACTTACAGAAGTAGCACCCTGATGGTCTTGGACAAGATCCAGGAGAATTCTATGGATTACCAGGCAAAGACTTGTGTTCTCTTTCCTTGCTTTCTCCCAAACAGAGTCTCATTCTGTGTTCTGAACAACGTTGCTCTGTTGTCTTAATTATTGCTGTGTCATTAATATTTATATATTAATTCCCCCTAAACTTGCAAATTTTACACATTTACTTCCCCCAAGATGTCCATGTCCTTCTGAAGTCTGTATTAAGGATCCCAGGAGTAAGAGTACTGAGCAAGACATTCATGGTAAAACAAAACAAAAACAAAAAGATTTAATCTAAAGCCCAAATAAGTGACTTGTGGCAAATCCATGATAATGTCCCCCACCACTACTGGGCTTTGATTTTTAGACAGAGTAGCAGGTCCTCAGGCACTCACCTAGTCCAAGGAGCTAGATGGGACAAATCCGTGATCTGCATGGTGCCATCCTGTCTGTCTGGTTTTATTGACATTATACAGGGCTTACGCTGGGCAGTCCATAGAGCTTGTTTCTATAGGCAGTATTTAAGACTTAGCATTTAAAAACATCTTTTTGTTTTCCCCTCTGTATTTTTGCAGCCTTATTTTAATTAATTTCTTGCTCCACTTTCCAACTTCTTCTAATCCTAGATTCATAACTGATATGTATTGGCTCATAGACTTTGGCTCTGGAAAGTAAATTTAATACAGCTTGGATTCAAAACCATGTAATTTCGGTTGAAGAGCTCATATGTCTGATCACTCATTACATTCAGTTCACAACAAGGCTAAGAGTAGAGTTTTATGTTGTGCAGGGACACACAGGAAACACATCACACACACCACAGAAATGCATTTTTGAAACAAACCAGTCAATAATCTTCCTTTTAGTTTATTAAAAAACTGCTCAGGGGTGCTACCGTGATACAAGTTTACCTTGCTGTAATTCTGGCATGATAAACTTGTATCATAGTTGTTACTATTTTCATAAAGAGCAATTCTCTAGCTGTATTAAATACCGGCTGGAAACAAGCCTGCATCATTTTCTTACCTATTCAAGGGAGTTAACATTTGCTTAAGATAAGATATCTTTATAAATCTTCATAAAATCTAAATAATTGTATTTAAAATTTCCTCCACTCTCCCTGTCATCATTCAGTGCTGCCTGTGAGCCCTCTGTGTGGTTATTATTTTCAAATTCACAAGCATTTACTTCCCTGATGAGCACTTTTCCTAAATATATGCCTTGTTGACATGAACTGCTCAGGAAACAGAAAAAAATAACAGAGTCATGAAAAATAATGTTCTTTCCTTATAAGGGAGACAAACGGAAGAAGTAGAAAAGAAACCTTATTCATTACTACAGCCCCATTTTGTTGTTTTTAGCTGGTCGCAGCTTACTGCCCTGACCCCTTTTGCGAAAGGTCTTCCCCAGGTCAGGACTACTGAGATGGCCCTGGCAGCCAACCTTCAGAAAAGGGATTCTCAGGAGGGCAATTTGCTAATGGAGCAACAGAAGTTGCTGATAGTTACAGAAGGAAAAGCAGAAAGTGACTCACAGTACCCAATTCACCAACTGGATGTGTAAAAATGAAGAAGAGAACATTAATTACCAGTGAATCTAGTAGGAAATTGAGCCAAGTCTGGCATAATTAGCCTTTTCCTCTAAAATCCTCTCTCCCTGCTTCACGTTGGCTCTGCTGAGCTGCAAAGCTAAGAATTCTGACCTGCACCAGACATCGTTTTTACTCACAACAGACCAAGGAGTGTCTTGCTACATTTACAGAGTTTCCAAGCCTATTGGGTTCTCTTGAGCTGCTGTGGCTTGGATCTAGCTGGCCAGAGAGAAAAAAAGGAAAGAGCAGATTTTGGTGTCAGCAGCAAAACTTTTATCATGATCCTCCAGAGACAACTGCCCTAAATCTGAGCATACACACATTGTTGACCAGCACCAGAAGAAATCGCAAACGATATGAGAGCATAAGTCCTACCCACTTCGAAGCTGTCATAATTTATGCTTGTTTTTACATTATTTTCAGTGCCTTTACTGATTATGTAAGTGAAAATCTAGTGATTTTTTTCAAAAATCCTGTGATGTGATTTGAGATGAATAGACACTTTCTGAGGTACCCGTAGAAAAATGGTATTCTATCTGCTTGGTAGAAAAGGGGGAAAAAACCATGATTCTAAGGTCAATTAACCATTTTTATAACCAATTTGTTCATAGTCATTGGGTACATTTATATACCTGGAATAGTTCACATTCAGAAATGCTTATTTAGTAATTCGTTTAGTTAAAAGAGAACTGAAGCACTTCAGTCAGTCATTCTAAACAGAATATTTCATTGTGACTGTTTATTTTTTTGATAGCCGTTAGTGGATTTTTCTAGTTGTCCGGAAGAATTTTACTTACTAGTAAGATTTGTCTTAGACATAAAGCAGTGTTATGTCTGATAAATTTGTTCAGGACTCTCCAAACTATTTATTCATTAAGAAGGCATTAAATTCTTAATCATTCTTGGAGGACATGATACCTGGATGTCCCAGATCTGAAGCTGGCTACAGACAAATGAGCAAGCTCACTCGACCCAGACACTTTTACCACCTCATTCCTCTGCATTCTTTCTCTGGACATAATTTAATAAGATGCATTTTAGCCTGTTTAGTTTGGTGTGTCCTAGACCTTAGCTTGAATACTAACTGTGAGTATATTTTTAAGAGGGAGGGAGCAGGAAGATGAAAAGTAAGTGCTGGATGCTGTGCATGCAGCTGTCTGTGATTTAATTTTTAAATGAGAGAATTGACCAGTTAATTAATTTATTTGGTTAAGTAATTCATTTCAAATAAATACATAATAACCAAAGTTAAAGTCACCTAAAATGACAGTTGACCCTTGAACAACACAAGTTTGAACTGCACAGGTTCACATATGCAGACTTTCTTCTGCTTCTGCCACCAGGAGACAGCAAGACCAACCCTTCCTCTTACTCCCCCTCCTCAGCCTACTCAGTGAGAAGACGATGAGGATGAAGACCTTTATGATGATCCACTTCCACTTAATTAATAGTAACTATCTTTTCTCTTTCTTAAGATTTTCTTAATAGCTTACTTTATTGTAAAATGGGTGTGATTTTTGTCTTGGCCTGTGATGGTCAGTGTGTTCACGGGCCACAGTGATAAAAGCATTTAAGAAGTCAAATGTAGCATCTAGAATGATTTAGATCTCACAGTTGTGTAGAAGACTAGAAAGTATCCCTTAGTTTTCTGAAACTGTGGTTTTGTCTGAATATATATGCATATATTTAAAACAAAGAAATATAATTCATGTTGATTACATTGGAATTAGAGGGAATTTGTAGAACTGTTGTTATACCACTGGAGTTATTAGTAGAAATGGTCTTATTGAAGGTTATTATTATGTTGAAGAAATAATTTGATTTATAAATAGATTCTTATTTCCTAGAAGGCAGGTAAAAAATGTATCTGATTTTTCTATGGTGTAAAGCCAAGACTAGCAATCTATATTCTGCCTGCCTTATCTTGCCTACCAGCTGTTTTTGTAAATAAAGTTTTGTTGGAACACAACTACATTCATTTGTTAACATACGACCAGTGACATCTTTTGTGCTGCATTGATAGGGAAGGTTTGACAGAGACTGTGTGGCCCAGAAAGCCTAAAATATTTGCCATCTGGTCCTATACATAAGAAATTTGCCAATCCCTGATTGGTAGCGATTTGAAGAAAATACATTAGGTTTATTTGTTTCTCATAAAATACAAGGTTCAATGTTATTTAGGAATTGAATCTAAACGTCTTTAAAGATTTCAACAATAGAAGTGGGAATTATGGTTTTTTGAAAGTGGAAAATTGAAGGCTATGTAATTTTTTCAAAATTTGGTGTTTTATGGATTTTTTCCTCTCTGTGTTAGTTAAAATTCTCCTTATCACTTATTTTCATCACAGGCTATCGTGCTACGAAATTAAAGCCTTTAATGATGGGAATGATTTCAATAATATTCCCTTTTTTACTTTCATTTGGTTGCCAAATAGACAAAAATTAAGAACTAGACTTAGTTGATCAGAAGTTGACTCTTCAGCTTTTAGCCATGACATTTCCTGCTGGTGTGAAATATCTTTAAAGCTTCGTAGTTACAGATACCCTTTTGAATGGAAAATTAAAGCATATATCACCACTAAATCTAAGAACATACTGCTAAACCCAGTCTACAAAGTAGTTGGTGAGCTCATATAGAATATTAGTCAAGGCCTTTCTTGCCTTGTCAGGTTCCCAGGCTGACAAAGTGAGGCACCCACCTGGCCTTCCATTATTCCCCTTTCCATAGTATAGCACTGTGCCTTGAGAGCAGCACTCCCACATCAGGGGTACTGGGCTCCAATTACTTCTCGGGCAGGTCTCGCGCATATCACTTAATTTCTCGGGTCTCACTTTTCTCATCTGTAAAAAGGAATCAAAACAGCACCACCTCAGAGAGTGAACACAAAGAATTTAGAAGCGTGACATGTTCCTAGTGTTATCCTCCAAGTGGAATGTTGGAAGCTAGGAAGGATCTTAGTGAAATAATAAAACAATCTTACTTTTTGAAAAAAAAAATTTTCACATTTCTGTAAGAATTGTAATGAATGCCTCAGAATACTCTTAGAGAAGTGAGTCAAATACAGCACCTCTCTTTTTCTGATGACAAAATATCTTTCTTCATCTCTGTATGTCTCTCTCATTTTGTCAGACTTTGGGACCTAAGAAGCTCACATATGGAGTTTAATTCTTATGTGCACTGTTTTTACTTAGGTAACACCTGGCATGTTTTCCCCAAGTTCACAAAAGAGGTGGATTCCCTGACAGAAATGGGGAGTCTAGCAAGTCAAAACATTGCCTCAAAAGCTTGGTGGAGGTTATTCTGTTGTCAGACATGCATGTTTTCACCTGCAGCATCTCTCCAAAAATGCGCAGGGCAATGCATTTAACTCTAGTTTTGAATAATGAAAGTAAAATGGGATAGCAGCTCAGCCAAACAGATGAAAAGAACAGCTCCTGCAAGATCTACAATGAGCCAGGTTTTGTTTTGTTTTATTTTTAATGTTTTACTCACCTGGTATAAACCATAATATTTTTTATTGTGAAAACAGAAAGGCAAGTGTTAAAAGAGCCCAAGCATGACACCTATAGAGAATGAAAAATGTGGAACGTAACAAGTCATTCTGTCAGGACCTGCACAGAACCACACCTTTAAGCATCATTCAAAGGCCAGCCTCTCAATGGGTTTTACTTCCCCAAAGAATAGTTTTGATCTTCTACTATAAATTCTGCAGGAAACATCAAGACCCTAAGACTGTGGCATAACTGTAAAACAAACCAAAATTTAAATATACAATGATAAAGCTCCTAGCTAGGAAAATGAAGAGTAGAATGAAAAACTAATTTCCAAGATCAATTTTGAAGGAAACACGAAAAAAATGGTTTTAAAGACATACTTCCTGCAGTTTTGTCTTTCCTTTTATATTACAGCAAATTTCTTTTCTCACAGTGGGATTTTAAGTTAATTTATAATTATACACACTTGCAGGGGATGAGAGAGAAATGACCTAATTGTAGACCAAATGGATACCCTCTGGCGATCCTGCAATTAGAGCTACCAGGGTAATAGATGGGCTTTATCCTGCCTTGAGTGGATTCAGTGGCTGACCTGGCAGTGAGCACTGACAGTGGTTTGCAGAGTCCACAGCATAATGTCAAAATCTGCTTAAATTATTTGGAAGCAAAAATAAACAAATCAAAGTAAAATTCCAAGTGATCGTAGAACTCAAACTTCCTTTTCTCTGAGAAGATATAAATACCAACTCTGACCATCAAGGGAGAAAAAATAAGCAGAAGGTTTTAATGCTGTCTCTCTATTTAACTAGATTCTAATTAGTTACAATTAAGCTGCCAGAGAATAACAGCTACAGTGACATTGAAGACGAAAATGCCCAGTTCTAACATAATTCCCACCGTTTCTTTAGATTTCTCTTTTTTGTCATTGAGATTTAGTTGGAAATGATAGGGGAAGCTAAAGGTCTTAACAGGTATCTAACAGGGTCACTGAAGCAGCAAATTCCTTTTTAGTAATTCTCTGGCCTTACTTTTCTCTCTGAATACTCTACAGCAAGAGAATAATTACTTTTATAATGTGTACTCAATTCTTTCCCCTCCTTCCAGCCAAGAGGGCATTTCCCTGCCTGTTCTTTCTGTACCAACCCCAAACAGGGTACTTAACCTGAAATTTTAAAAGAGCCACATTCTTTGTCTAGTTAACAAAATATTCTGGCTAATATGGAGCTCCTAAGACCCATATGAAACAGTTAGAAAATGATATAAATGACATGTGATTGAGTTGGAGGAGAAAAAGAACCAATAAATTACTTTTTATGAGTTGGGAGAAATCAGAACAGAACAGAGTATTGTCTTGGTGTGTACAATGGTCACAGTGAGTGAATCAGTGATGTAAGGGGAGTGTGGCCCAAGATATGTGTGCTGAGATGGACTGCAATGACATGTGGTTACTAACTGCAGAAAGCAATGTCTGCACCTCAAGTAACTGATTATTTAGTGCCCTTTTCTGTGTTTTCTTCTATGTACAATGGAATTATCTAAAGCTATCGTATAGTTAATATTTAAGTGATAAATATTTTTATATCATCATCAACACATTTATTGTGGCTTCATTAAACAAAACTATGTCACACTGTCTTAAAGAGATTATAGGTATCTTAGTGAGAGCTAGTGTTTAAATAATAACTTGTCCAGATCTTCCAGTCCATCATGTAGTATCATTTCTCTTTGCATAGAAACAAATACTTTCAAATGTTTACCCAAATCTTATGACTTGACATTTTTTTACCACCAGACCTGCATTACAAGAGGTTCTGAAAGGAGCACTAAATATGGAAAGGAAAAACTGTCACCAGCCACTACAAAAATACACTTAGGTACACAGGCCAGTGGTGCTATAAAGCAATCACAAAAACAAGTCTGCATAATAACCAGCTAACAACATGATGACAGATCATATCTGCACATATCAAGACTAACCTTGGATGTAAATGTGCTAGATGCCCTAAATAAAAGACACAGAATAGTAAGCTGAATAAAGAAGCAAGACCCAATTGTATGCTGTTTTCAAGAGACCCATCTCACATGCAATGATATCCACAGACTCAACATAAAGGGATTGAGAAAAATCTACTAAGCAAACAGCAAACAGAAAAAAAAACAGGGTTTGCAATCCTAATTTCAGATAAAATGGACTTTAAACCAACAAAGATTAAAAAAAAGATAAAGAAGGGCATTATATAATGATAAAGGGTTCAATTCAACAAGAAGACCTAACAATCCTAAATATATATGCACACAACAAAGGAGCACCTGGATTCACAAAGCAAGTTCTTAGAGACTTCAATACCCCACTGGCAGTATTAGACAGATTATTGAGGCAGAAAATTAATGAAGATATACACGACCTGAACTCAACACTTGACCAAATAGACCTAATAGGCACCTACAGAATTCTCCACCCCAAGACAATAACATGTACATTCTTCTCATTGCCACATGGCACACACTCCAAAATTGACCACATAATCAGACATAAAACAATACTCAGCAAGTTCCAAAAAAACCAAAATTATACCAACCACATTGTTGAACCACAGTGCAATAAAAATAGAAATCAACCCTAAGAAAATCACTCAAAACCACACAAACACTCAAAAAAAAATAAAACTTGAGGCCAAAGCTTTGATGAACATAGGCCAAGCTTTATTCCTCAGATGCAAGATTGGTTCAACGTATGTGAATGAATAAGTGTGACCCATCACATAAACAGAACTAATAACAAAATGACATGATTACCTCAATAGATGCAGAAAAGGCATTTGATAAAATTTAACATCCATTCATGTTAAAACCCCCCAATAAACTAGGCATCAAAGGAACATATTTCAAAATAATAAGAGCCATATATGACAAACCCACAGCCAACATTACTGAATGGGCAAAAACTGAAAGTATTCCCCTTGAAAACCCACACAAGATAAAAATGCCCTCTCTCACCACTCTAATTCAACATACTATTGGAAGTCCTAGCCAGAGCAATCAGTCAAGAGAAAGAAATAAAAAGCATCAGAATAGTAAGAGAGGAAGTCTAACCATCCCGGTTTGCAGATTACATAATTCTGTATATAGAAAACCTCATAGGCTCTGCTTTCAACTTATAGCCTGGATTCAACCAGTTCTCATTGCCTTCTCTGCATTACCCTACTCCAAATCATCACCATCTCCCACCAGCATATTCCAAAATCACATTCTCTGCATTTTCCTTGTAAAAAAAAAAAGTCACATTCAAACCTCCTATGTGTTAAAATCACATTCTACAAAGTCCTGTGTGATTTGGCCTCCACTGTCCCTTTGGCCTCCTCTCCCATTCCTCATGCACATGGAGCTCACTTCTGCCCCAGGGCCATATGTGCACTTTTGTTCTTTCTTTCATAGGACCATTAAGCATTCTGTTCAAATGTCCCTTCTTCAGGCTCTTCTGGGCCACATTCTGTGGGCCATGCAGCGTCTCCCCTACTTATAACCTACACTTGAAGAACACAAGCCATGGCTGGTATGTCTATGTCCATACTTAGATTATCAGTCTATTATTTACTTCTTTATTTCATTTTTGTTTCATGTATTATAATCTAATCTCTAAAAGGAAAAGAATTCATGAAGTTCTACCACCTGGAATGCAGCCAGGCACATAGCAGAACCTCAAGAAATAGTAGAGACACTAATTTGTCGTAATAATTAATTCAGACACCTAAATGGTTGTGGTGGTCTATTATGGGCATATTCATAAAGGCATTAATCCACTAGTCAAGATATGTCATTACTGGCCCCTGAATTGCCTCAGTACTCCAAAGTACCACAAATGAGAACACATATTTCCTTCATGATGATCTGAATTGCTTTTTGCAGAGAATAGTAGGTAGTTTCATGTTACTCGAGTTGCTAAACAGATTGCTATATTAGAAAGTTTGGGCTGCTATACAAAATATCATAAACTAGGAGGTGTAAACAACAAACATTTATTTTCTACTGTTCTGGAGGCTGGAAAGTCCAAGATCAAGGTGCTTACATATTCACTTCCTAGTGAGGGCTCTCTTTCTGGTTAACAGATGGTTGCCTTCTTGCCGTTTCCTCACATAGCAGGGAGAGAGACGGGGCTCTGGTCTCTTTGTCTTTTCATAACGGCTCTGATTCTATCATGGGGCTCCACATCATGACCTCATCTAAACCTAATTTCCTCTGAAAGGCCCTGCCTCCAAATATCATCACATTAGAGACTGAAGATTCAACATTTGAATTTGGTGGAAAAATACAAATTTTCAGTTCATAGCAATTGTCTTTCTTAAAACAAAGCTGTAACACGGGTTTTGGAGGAAAGTGGATCTTCCATTCAGTTTACTAATTTCTTGTAGAAATAAAATAAAATAATCAATTAAAGTCTGGGAGCATTTGCAAAATAAGCTAATATAATTAAATGGCTAAGCTAGCTAAGGTAAGAATTCACTGCTAGGACAATTAAAGTTTCCTGTTGCATCTAGGATGTGTGCTGTACTGGGCCACTAATTCCTTTAGGTTAATATAATAGTTTTATGTTACGATTGATAAATGGTGTTAACCAAATTTCATTAAATGCTAAGTATTATTTCTCATAAAATTATTCTAGAATGGAGATGATTCATTTTAAAGATGTTATTTATCTTAGTTACACATTGTAATTTATGGTAAATGTTATTTATGCCCTCTTAAATTGAAAGGGTTGTTGAAAAGTAAACAGTTCACTGTGGCTTAATACATTTGTCAAATGTTTCTGTTTTAGACTCCTATAATTACAGCTATTGTAAGGAATGAAGATAGTGGGATTTTGACAGTTTCCTGATCCTGCTTTATTTTTTCCCCAAAATGTTTCTGTATCTGAAAAACTGAAACTATAGTCATCCTAAACTTCTGATTCTGTAAGCAGAAGAAACAGCAACGGCTTGAATTTTTACTTCCTTCTAACATTTTCTATTTATGATTTAATATGAGTGATTATTCTAATATTTTAGTGTAGGTCATTATCACTTGGTGGTATTATTAAAAATACAAATGCCTCATTTCCTCCCACACCGCCTGATTTAATAAGTGTCAGAAAGAGGTAGAACATCTTTATTTTGAACTGTTCTTTTGGACAGCCACAGTTTTCAGATAGTACATAAGGTATATATCGTAAAGAAGTATGACCATGCAAAGCAAAAGAGAACTACAGTCACTTCAAGGAATGGGACAAACATAGAGATTGAAATGACAGCTTTAACTATAACCAAATGGAACAACCTAAAATATAAGACAGTAATAGGAGATGAAGAACAATCAAGGGACTAAGCAACTCCAGAGAGGCAACAAAGAAGCAGGTTGGACATTTCAGAAAATCAAGTGGGTAAATCAGAAGCCTATCCATCCACACAATGTTCACAAGTGTTTATTGTGTTTCTGCTGTGTGGTAGAAAAGACAGAGCCCAGCCGGGCACAGCGACTCACGCCTGTAATCCCAGCACTTTGGGAGGCCGAGGCAGGCGGATCACTTGGGGTCGGGGGTTCAAGACTCAGCCTGGCCAACATGGCTAAACCCCATCTCTACCAAAAATACAAAAATTACCCAGGCACGGTTGTGCACACCTGTAGTCCCAGCTACTTGGGAGGCTGAGGCATGAGAATCAGTTGAACCTGTAAGGCGGACATTGCAGTGAGCCGAGATGGTGCCACTGCACTACAGCCTGGGTGACAGAGTGAGACTGCATCTCAAAAAAAAAAAAAAAAAAAAGCCAAGAACATAAAAGAAGACTTCTTAATAAAGAGAATATGAAAAGATTTAAATGAAAGAACATACAGCTATTAAAATCAATGCAAGTAGAATATATTACTCTATTAAAATAAATAGACTTCTAGATTGATAGAAAAAATGGTTTAGATGTATTCTGTTTCTAAGACATAGCTCGTAAAACAAAAGCAAAAGAGTAATGCTGCAAATATAGGATAGGCCAAGCTATGCTATGCAAATGAAAACCAACAGAAAGCAGATAAAGCAATATTAAGATCAAAGAAGAATTCAAAGTAAAAGAATGCTGTCTTAAGATAAAATGTATGAATTACAGTAGAGATGAGAATACATGTACTGCTATGAACCTAAAATATTATACCCTATTTACAACAGTAGCTTATATAAATTTTAAGAGAAACAAGATCTCATATTAAGGAGATACAATATACTTCTTTTTCTTTTTGTTTTTGAGACAAAGTCTCACTCTTGTCCCCCAGGCTGGAGTGCAATGGCTCTATCTCAGCTCACCGCAATCTTCACCTCCCGGGTTCAAGCAATTCTCCTCCCTCAGCCTCCTGAGTAGCTGGGATTACAGGCACCTGCCACCTCGCCTGGCTAATTTTTGTATTTTTAGTAGAAACAGGGTTTCACCATGTTGCCCAGGCTGGTCTCAAACTCCTGAACTTAGGTGATCCAGCTGCCTTGGCCTCCCAAAGTGCTGGGATTACAGGCATGAACCACCGCACCCAGCCTTTGTTTTTTTGTTGTTGTTTTTTGTTTCGTTTTTTTGAGACAGAGTCTTGCTCTGTCACCCAGGCTGGAGTGCAGTGGCACCATCTCGGCTCACTGCAACCTCCGCCTCCTGGGTTCAAGTGATTCTTCTGCCTCAGCCTCCCAAGTAGCTGGGACTACAGGTGCGAGCCACCACGCCCGGCTAATTTTTGTATTTTTGGTAGAGACGGGGTGTCACCATATTGGCCAGGCTGGTCTCGAACTCCTAGATCTCGTGATCCACCCGCCTCAGCCTCCCAAAGTGCTGGGATTGCAGGCGTGAGCCACTGTGTCCGGCAGATACTTCTCTTATATTACCAATCAAGTAACCAAAAATAATTATAAAGTAATAATTCTTGCCATTTTCAAAATAAATGCTCACATGTAATAAACTTAAACTTTTATACCTTCTTTAAGTGTTATCTAAAAATTTTAAATAAGTTGAATTGTTGTTAAGGCAAATAAAAATGATGGTAAATATAATTTTCTTCAAATTATAGGCACTGTTCAATTTGATCTGCCATTGAACAGTGCCTATAATTTGAAGAAAATTCAAATTTCTTCAAGGGGTTTGTAGACACAAGTTGAAAAATAACTGTTATGTAGCATATGAATAATACAGCCAAATACATTAAGAAACATACAAAGAAACTACTTCATTAAAAAAAACATGTTATTTTCAAATATTTGAGACATTTACAAAAGTTGCCAATAAGGAAAACATGAAAACATTTTTCAATGTATAGTTTGAAACATGCAAAACTGCCATTTTCACAAATCACATGCAGCTGAAGATTGGCAACTTCACACAGAACAATCTACACAAATGCACAGACTGTGTTCTCTAACACTGCAACTGCCAAAACGATTCATTTGGAACATAACTAAGCCATTTGTAAATTCGTAGCATTGGGACAGTGTGCAGTGTAACCTTTGGCCTTTGTTTTCTTTCAGTCTGTGTCTGTGTGGTTCTAGATTTGGTCCATTTTGTTTTTGCCAACACATCTCTGCCTTTTTTTCTTTCTGTATTAAAATTCTTCATAACAAATTTGTTTGAATAAATGGTCTCTCCTACAAATCAACTCCAGAACTTAGAAATGGCAATTTGTTAATTCAAAAAAAAAATAAAACAATTATTATAGGTGAAAAAAGTAATTGATTAAAAAGGAGATTATAATGAAATTGATAACTAAAATCTGTACCTAGAAAAATCTCAGCAACTAGCAAGAAAACCTCAGTACTCAGCAAGAAAACCACAAACAAATTCATGTTCCAACACCAGGAATTATTTTATAGAGAGATCATTCATAAAAAGCAAACGTTAATTTAAATTTTGGGCTGAAATATTTGCACATGTGTGCATTGTGTATGTAAAATATACATAATTAAAAATAAAGTTATAGAGTTAAAATGAAAATCCCCAAACAAAACAAAACATCACACAATAAAGCACTCCTAAACAGAATAAAAACTATAAAGAATGGGAAAAGATGTGAAAGAATTCCCCCAAACCCTCCTTGCCCTTTTTTTGTTTGTTTGTTTGTTTTTGGGTTTTTTGTTGTTGTTTTTGTTTTTTGAGACAGAGTCTCACTCTGTCGCCCAGGCTGTAGTGCAATGACACAATCTTGGCTCACTGCAACCTCCAGCTCCCAGGTTCAAGCGATTCTCTTGCGTCAGCCTCCCGAGTAGCTGGGATTACAGGCATGTGCCACCATGCCTGGCTAATTTTTGTATATTTAGTAGAGACTGGGTTTAGCCATGTTGGCCAAGCTTGTCTTGAACTCCTGACCTCAGGTGATCCGCCCGCCTCAGCCTCCCAAAGTGCTGAGATTACAGGCGTGAGCTACCGCGTGCACCTGGCCCCTCCTTGCCTTTAAGAATGGGTTCCATCAAGTCTTCAAGGAACAGATAAGTACTATGATATTAAGATAGTACTGAAATTTTTTCAATTTCCTAAGGCATTTTAAACATTACTAAGATAATGCAGAAAAGTATAAACCATTTTCACCAATGAATTAGATAAAAACATTTCTAGAAAACATTAGCATGCTCAACCACATAGCAAGTTTAAGGAATATCATATCATTAAAGTCCGGATAGGGGTCAACTTTGTGGGGGATAGGCACGGACTAATATAGGGGGAATATACAGTAGTGAATGGAAGATAATGAAAATGCTTTTATTCCCAAGCTGGATCAAGATTTCTTGAGAGTTCTTGTTGTCATTATGTTTTATAACTTACATATATTACCTATGTTCTTTTTTATGTTTCAAATATCATCTTAATTAAAAATAATTGAGAAAAAACAAAAGAAGATTATATCTAAGAAAGTTTACTGAGCCAAGAATGTGATCTTATTAAACACTGGCAAATACAGTAACATGATTCCTCACATTAGTGAGATAGAGGAGAAAAATTCATGGCCATTGTGACAAATTCGAAAAGTAAATGGACATAGTTCAGTGCTTACTCTCTTATAAATGAAGAAACAAGCTCAAAAGACTAAAATCTATGAAGATGAGCCTAGAGAAGACTATAGTATATGATCATTGTGGCCCCTCAAACCGTTAAATAAAAGGCAAGCTTTTCATTTAATATTATTAGGACAGCAAGCTAATTATATTTGATAAACAATATTAGATTGTTATGTCATAGGTATACCTAAAATACCAATAATGTGATTAAAAACAAAATACAAAATAATCCATAAAGTACTGGATGGAGGTGGGTGAAAATGTAATAGTTTTCCTGTGGGGCAGACGTTTCCATGCATGGCCAACTATAAAACTATAGGGAAAATGTTCATAGCTTGCCGACAACCATAACAGAAAAACCTTATATAAAAAACAGAAGGAGACCCCCCGCCACCGAAAAAATTCAGCATGGCAGAAAACCACTACAAACAGTATTAGAAGGCAAACCACAAATTTGAAAAAAATAACAAGCTTCTAGTGAATATGATAGGCAAATGACTAATTCTGATATGTAGAAATCGACAATAAAAAAAGGAATAACTTAGTGGAAAATATAGCATGAAATTTTAAAAAATGAGTAAAGTGGACAATAAACTGACAAAAAAAAAGATGTTCAGTTTCAGTAGTAAGCAAAGAAATGCAAACTTTAAAAATCAAAATGGAATTTCCCATCTGTTATATTTTCAAAGTCTAAAATAAATACTAATAATATATATAGGATGTTGGAAAGCAGGCAAACTTCTTTTTTAAACTGATAAAAGTTTTCTAAGAGCAAGTTATAGTATTGTATGCATGCCCTTTAATCCAGCAATTCTACTTCTAAGAGTTTCTCCTAGGAGAAAATAACCCCGAACCCCAAATGTATGAGTGTATATAGTAGGGTATCTATCATAGAGTTCAGATAGATAGATAGATTTTTATACATATATTAAGTAATTATAAGCAATCTAAAATTTCAATAAGAGCAGTTTGGTAATAGATTACCTTACATTCATACCTAGTACTTAGTCAGTGGATGTGGATCAGCAAACATTATAAAACAGAATGCCTAACATGATCCCATCCTTATATAAAACTAAAAAATCTCTCAAATGTATTATATTTGTCATTATATGACATTATATATAAGAAATTATATATATGACACATATATATAACATATATATATATAATATACTGAATTGTATTCTCCCACCAAACTTATACATTGAAACTCTAGTCCCCAGTATCTCTGAATGTGACTATATTTGGAGATGGAGGCTTTAAAGCAAGCTTGTCCAACTCACAACAGGTGGGCTGCACATGGCCCAGGATGGCTTTGAATGTAAAATTGTGTTTACAACACAAATGTGTAAACTTTCTTAAAACATTTTGAGGTTTTTTTGCAATTTTTTTTTTAGCTCATGAGCTATTGTTAGTGTTAGTGTATTTTATGTGTGACCCAAGATAATTATTCTTTCAATATGACCCAGGGAAGCCAAAAGATTGGACACCCCTGCTTTAAATAGATGATTTAGTTAAATAAGCCTGTTAAAGTGAGCCCTAATCCAATCTGACTGGTGTTCTTATAAATTTGGGCACACAAAACAACACCAGAAATACTCAAGCACAGACAAAAGATCAGGTGCGGACACAGTGAGAAGGCAGCCATGTGCAAGCCTGGAAGAGAGGCCTCAGAAGAATGCTACAAGAAGTGTGTTTACTAAGATACAAGAAGTGTTGGCAAGGATGTAGAGAAACTAGAACTCTTGTGCATCACTGGTGGGAATGTAAAATGGCCCAGGCACTATGGAAAACGTCTGGCATTTCTTCAAAAAGTTAAACATAAAATTACCATATGATCCAGCCAAAAAAAAGAAAAAAAACGAAAAAGAAAGCAAACCTGTTGGATCTTGGTAGCAAGATACAGACACCTTGATCTTGGACTTTCAGTCTCCAGAATTGTGAGAAAATAAGTTTCCATTGTTAAGCCACCCAGTGTGGTATATTGCTATGGCAGCCCTAGCAGACCAATACTAAGGATATGTGTGTGTATGTATGTATGTATGCATAAATGTGTCATGATTACTTGACTGAGATATATTCTGAGAAATGTGTAATTAGGTGATGATTTTGTCATTGTGCAAACATTGAGTACAGTTACACAAACCTAGATGTTGTAGCCCACTACACACCTAGACTGTATGGCATAGCCTATTCCCCCTAGGCTACAAACCAGGACAGCAGGTGACTATTTACACCAGCATCACCACAAACACACAAAGAATGTGTTGTGCTGCTATGTTCTGATGGCTTGGACATCACTAGGTGATAGGAATTTTTCAGCTCCATTACAATCTTACGGGACCTACCGTTGTGTATTTGGTCCTTCATTGGCTGAAATGCTGTTATATAGCACGAGACTGTATGTTTATTATAGATACACTGCATAATGTTTTTATATATATTTAAATAACTGAATAATATAGCCAGTAATGTCAAGAATTGCTTTTTCTAGATAGTAATTTTAATTTTTAGTATATTTGTATAGATATTTTTAATTATCTTGAGTTTTTGTAAGAACAAAAATAAAGCTATTTTAATGTGCAAAAAAAATTCAGTACTCAACTGATTCTTGTTTCTCTACTGCAACATCTAGTGTAGTACCTTATGCATAGAAAAGACAATAAAAAATTATTGATTAAAACATTTAAAGATCAGATTGTATTAGTTGACACGTTTTTGTCAAGCGACTCTTAAAAACACAATGAACCTTCATGGAGTGACAGTTTCTCCAGCTTTTTATTAATAAATGCCCAGACCTGTATTTTCACAGTGCTCTCTCTGTCAGCCTATCTAGTTGACATATTTATAGGACTTAATATTTGGCCCTTAAGTATGTTTACATCTAGTTTTCTTTTGAGCAGTTTCAGTTCTTTACTATTTATAGATTCTATTTTTGGGCTTGGTTGTCATGATTTATCTTTTTTTGCCTGACACTGCATTTTGGTCAGGCCACGTGTAGGCTTGCTGAAATGGTTATCCGACCTTTATATTTTTTTTCCTGTGGCCCCTCATCTTATTTTCATCTCTGAAGCTACTATGTCATATTGATAAGTGAGAATGGATGGGGCCCCAGTGTCTGACACAGATAAAGCTATCAAAAATATCCCGCAGGGGCAAGCCCCAGGTCCAAATAGGTCTTGTGAGATCTGTAGCGACACTTCAGAGTTCCTCTCCCTGAACATGCATTTAATCATTGTGCAGATGCGAGCCGTTTTCCCTTTGCCCCTAAACTCTGGATCCTGAGATCACAAATCTGTACCTCCTGCAGGCATATATCTTTTATTAATGGAAACATCAAAATTCTGGCGCAGCTTTGGCAACTCAGTTTGCAAAGGATTATTAAGCTCTTTTGAGTGCTCCAGAAAAGTAAGATGCATGTCTGGTGTCTTAAAAAGTCGTGCAGAGATGGAAACTTAGCCAGTTGTATTTTAGATGAAGGCATTAATGGCTTTTGCATTTCATATTATTAGTAAAAATAGTTAATATAAGCCAAGTAGGTCTATGTGGGGTAGTGAGAGACATTACTAATTCATAGCTCCTGGGTTTTTAGTATCTTCTATCTTAAAAAGAAAAGTTTTGACTGTGGACCTAGAAATTTAACTGCCCCCACCCACCAATTTCCCCTATTTTAAACAGTTTGCATTAGCGTGGTACATTTGATAAAATTGTTAAGCCAATATTGTTGCATTCACTAAAGCTTATAGTTGGCCTTAGAAACCCTGCTGTTTCTGTGATACATCCTAAAAATTTTGACAAATGTATAATGACATGTATCCACCAGAATGGTATCATATGGAACAGGCTCACTGCCCTAAAATCCGCTGCATTCAACCTACTTAAGTCTCCCCACTCCATCCACAACACACTGAACCCCTGGAAAACACTGATCTTTTCTCAATCTCTACAGGTTTGCCTTTTTCAGAATAACATATAGTTGAGTCATACAGTATGTAGCCTTTTCCAGTTGGCTTCCTTTATCTAGCAATATGCACTTAAGTTTTCTCTATGTCTTCTTGTGACTTGCTAGCTCATTTATTTTTATTGTTGAATAATATTCCACTGCCTGGATGTACCATAGTTTGCTTATCCATTCACGTATTGAATGACATCTTTGCTCCTTCCAAGATTTGTATTTGGCAATTACAAATAAAGATGTTATGAACATTTGTGTGCAGGGTTTTGGGTGGACGTTAGTTTCCAACTCATTTGCGTAAATACCAAAGAACATAGTTACTGGATCACATGGCAGGAGAATGGTCAGTTTTGCAGCAAACTGCTAAACTGTCTTTCACAGTGGCTGTGCCATTTTCATTCCCATCAGCAATGAGTGAGAGTTCCTGCTGCTCCACATCCTCACCAGCATGTGGTTGTTGCAGGGTTCCAGATTTCTGGCATTCGAGTAGGTGTGTACTGGAATGCCAATGTTGAATTAATTTTCATTTCCCTACAGACATCACAGCGGACATTATTATGTGCTTATCCACCATCTGTAGATCTTCTTAATGAAGTATCTCTTCAAATCTTTTGTCCATTTTTAAATTGGGCTTTTTTTCTTATTGTTGAACTTTAACAGTCCTTTATAAATTTTTGGATACTGGTCGTCTTTTATCAGATATGAGTTTTGCAAATTTTTCCTCTCAGTATGTGGCTTGTCTTTTCAGTGTCTTAAAAATCTGTTCTTTGTCATTCCATTAAATTAATTCATGCATAGAATAGAAAAACAGAAAATTCAGATTAAAAAAGAATATACTTAATTTTAAACTAAATTCTACTAGAGAAAGCCATTGATAATATTTTGATATATTATCTAATATATCTGTATGTATACAGATATACAAACACATATATACATTGTAGGCACAATAATGGCCCCCCAAGATGTCTGCATTCTAGTCCCCCAAATTTATAAATATGTTATGTTACTTGGCAAGAAGGAATTCAGTTTTCAGGAGAAATTAAGGTTGCTATCGGCTAACTTTGAGATGGGGGAATTCCCCAGATGATCTGGTGGGCCTTATATAATCACAAGGGTCTTTGTAAGTAAAACAGTGAGGCAGAAGAATCAGGATCAGAGAGAGTTGGCAAGATTGTGCTGCCGGCTTTGAAGATGAGGTAAGGGAACTTAAGCCAAAGCCTGAGAACAGTCTCTAGAAGTTGTAAAAGACAAAAGAATGGATTCCTCCCTAGAATCTCCAGAAGGAATGTAGTTCTACTAATCCCTTCAATTTAGCAATGAGACTTATTTCAGATTTATGATCTCTGAAACTGTGAGGTAATAAATTTGTGTTTCTTTTTTCTTTTTTTATTTTTATTTTTTGAGACAGGGTCTTGCTCTGTTGCCCAGGCTGGACTGCAGTGGCATGACCATGGCTCACTGCAGCTTCAACCTCTCTGGCTCAAGAGATCCACCCGCCTCAGCTCCCCAAGCACCTGGGACTATAGACATACACAAACATGCCAGGCTAAACTTTGTATTTTTTGTAGAGATGGGGTCTTGCTATGCTGGCCAGGCTGGTCATGAGCTTCTGGACTCAAGCAATCCTCCTGCCTTGGCCTCACAAAGAGCTGGGATTACAGGCATGAGCTACTGCACTGGGCCTAAATTTGTATTCCTTTAGGCAATAAGTTTGTGTTAATTTGTTATAGTAGCAATAGGAAACTAATGCATATATGTATATATGTAAATATAGACATAAACATGTATTCATACAAATGAATCATAGTAAGCATATTTTATGATCTGCTTTTTGAGTTAATATAACATGATCCTCTATCCATGTCAATCCAATACATCTCTATATTATTATTTTTAGAGCTGATGTAGTAGTATAAATACATAACCACACAAAGGGATCCATTTTCTAAATTACTTGGGTTTTTATTCTCCCCTCACAAAAAGAATAACTGAAAATAGAAAGAAGAAAAAAATGATATCAATTGAATAACTAATACAAGCCAGACATTTTATGTGAATTATCTCACTTACATGTTACAGTAATTCTACAATGCAGATTTTTCTAACATTTAAAAGATGTAACCCACAAAGCTGGTACTTAATCTATTCTGTTTGATTCCAAAATTTATAATGTCTCCAGGACCCCTTGTTGCATAAATGGGTACAAGTGAATTGCAAAATACTTGAGCTTTGTGTTGAGCTAATGATGTAGGAGGAAAACTTCCACTGCAATTCTATTCCTTGAGTTATTACTTTAATTACTAAGAACTACTTTTAATGAATGAATGCATAGAATGAAAATACTTATTTATAAGATGTGGTAGTTTTAAAATATATCCCCCAATGCTTTGGTAATCCTTAATTCTCCTTCCCCTTGAGTGTTGACTGGATGTAGTGACTCATTTCTAGGGAAGAGAATGTGGTGGAAGTAATGGTGAGTGACTCCCAAGACTGGGTTATACAGGCTCTGAAATTGAGGCAATAATTAATAGCTTACCTACCAAAAAAAGTACAGGAACAAATGGATTCACAGCTGAATTCTACCAGATATACAAGGAGGAGCTGGTATCATTCCTTCTGAAACTATTCCGATCAATAGAAAAAGAGGGAATCCTCCCTAACTCATTTTAGGAGGCCAGCATCATCCTGATACCAAAGCCTAGCAGAGACACAACAAAAAAAGAGAATTTTAGACCAATATCCCTGATGAACATCGATGCAAAAATCCTCAATAAAATACTGGCAAACTGAATCCAGCAGCACATCAAGAAGCTTATCCACCATGATCAAGTGGGCTTCATCCCTGGGATGCAAGGCTGGTTCAACATACGCAAATCAGTAAACGTAATCCAGCATATAAACAGAACCAATGACAAAAACCATATGATTATCTCAATAGATGCAGGAAAGGCCTTTGACAAAATTCAACAACGCTTCATGCTAAAAACTCTCAACAAATTAGGTATTGACGGGACGTATGTCAAAATAATAAGAGCTATCTATGACAAACCCACAGCCAATATCATACTGAATGGGCAAAAACTGGAAGCATTCCCTTTGAAAACTGGCACAAGGCAGGGATGCCCTCTCTCACCACTCCTATTCAACATAGTGTTGGCAGTTCTGGCCAGGGCAATCAGGCAGGAGAAGGAAATAAAGGGTATTCAATTAGGAAAAGAGGAAGTCAAATTGTCCCTGTTTGCAGATGACATGATTGTATATCTAGAAAACCCCATTATCTCAGCCCAAAATCTCCTTAAGCTGATAGGCAACTTCAGCAAAGTCTCAGGATACAAAATCAGAAGCAAAATGCTTGTGAAAAAATCACAAGCATTCTTATACACCAATAACAGACAAACAGAGAGCCAAATCATGAGTGAACTCCCATTCACAATTGCTTCAAAGAGAATAAAATACCTAGGAATCCAACTTACAAGGGACGTGAAGGACCTCTTCAAGGAGAACTACAAACCACTGCTCAATGAAATAAAAGAGGATACAAACAAATGGAAGGACATTCCATGCTCATGGGTAGGAAGAATAAATATCGTGAAAATGACCATACTGCCCAAGGTAATTTATAGATTCAATGCCATCCGCATCAAGCTACCAATGACTTTCTTCACAGAATTGGAAAAAACTACTTTAAAGTTCATGTGGAACCAAAAAAGAGCCCACATCGCCAAGATAATCCTAAGCCAAAAGAACAAAGCTGGAGGCATCACGCTACCTGACTTCAAACTATACTACAAGGCTACAGTAACCAAAACAGAGATATAGACTTGTACCAAAACAGAAATATAGACCAATGGAACAGAACAGAGCCCTCAGAAATAATGCCACATATCTACAACCATCTGATCTTTGACAAATCTGACAAAAACAAGAAATGGGGAAAGGATTCCCTATTTAATAAATGGTGCTGGGAAAACTGGCTAGCCATAGGTAGAAAGCTGAAACTAGATCCCTTCCTTACAACTTATACAAAAATTAATTCAAGATGGATTAAAGACTTAAATGTTAGACCTAAAACCATAAAAACCCTAGAAGAAAACCTAGGCAATACCATTCAGGACATAGGCATGGGCAAGGACTTCATGTCTAAAACACCAAAAGCAATGGCAACAAAAGCCAAAATTGACAAATGGGATCTAATTAAACGAAAGAGCTTCTGCACAGCAAAAGAAACTACCATCAGAGTGAACAGGCAACCTACAGAATGGGAGAAAGTTTTTGCAATCTACTCATCTGACAAAGGGCTAATATCCAGAATCTACAATGAACTCCAACAAATTTGCAGGAAAAAAACAACCCCATCAAAAACTGGGCGAAGGATATGAACAGACACTTCTCAAAAGAAGACACTTATGCAGCCAAAAGACACATGAAAAAATGCTCATCATCACTGGCCATCAGAGAAATGCAAATCAAAACCACAGTGAGACACCATCTCATACCAGTTAGAATGGCAATCATTCAAAAGTCAGGAAACAACAGGTGCTGGAGAGAATGTGGAGAAATAGGAACACTTTTACACTGTTGGTGGGATTGTAAACTAGTTCAACCATTGTGAAAATCAGTGTGGTGATTCCTCAGGGATCTTGAACTAGAAATACCATTTGACCCAGCCATCCCATTACTGGGTATATACCCAAAGGATTATAAATCATGCTGCTATAAAGACACATGCACACATATATGTTTATTGCGGCACTATTCACAATAGCAAAGACTTGGAACCAACCCAAATATCCAACAATGATAGACTGGATTAAGAAAATGTGGCACATATACACCATGGAATACTATGCAGCCATAAAAATGATGAGTTCATGTCCTTTGTGGGGACATGGATGAAGCTGGAAACCATCATTCTCAACAAACTATCGCAAGGACAAAAAACCAAACACCGCATGTTTTCACTCATAGGTGGGAATTGAACAATGAGAACACATGGACACAGGAAGGGGAACATCACACACCAGGGCCTGTTGTGGGGTGGGGGGAGTGGGGAGGGATAGCATTAGGAGATATACCTAATGTTAAATGACGAGTTAATGGGTGCAGCACACCAACATGGCAAATGTATACATATGTAACAAACGTGCACGTTGTGCACATGTACCCTAAAACTTAAAGTATAATTTAAAAAAAAAAAGACTGGGTTATAAAAGGCATTGTATCTCCCTCCATGCTTACTCTCCTGGCTCACTCACTCTGGGGAGAAGCCAACTAACCAAGTCATGAGGACACAATGTCAAGCAGTCATGTGGAGAGATTCACCCGGCAAAGAACTGAGGCCTCCTGCCAACAGCAGTGGGAGTGAGCCATCCTAGAAGCAGATCCTCCAGCCCTAGTTGAGCCTTCAGAAGACTGCAGTTCTGGCCAACATTTTGACAGAAACCTCATGAGAGAAGCCCAGCCAGACCACTTAGCAAAGCTGCTCCCAAATTCATAACTTACAGAAACTATGTAAGATAATAAATGTCTATGGTTATGTAAGTTTCTGGTTTCAGAATAATTTGTTTCCCTTTAATAGATAACTAATATCTAAGGAGAGATGTTTTATCAGAAAAGTTCTTACAACTCCAATATTCCATGGTAGTATTAAATGTAGAAAAATGGGAAAGATTGAAAAAAACCCAAAGAAATAAGACCTGCAACACATTGAAGCATGGGAAGATATTAATGAAAATAGAAAACTTGGGCTCAAATTTAAATGATGTAAAAAGATCTTAAGAAGTAGTACCATTGATGTTCTAGGTAAAAGACTGTTATTTTTAGGATATAACATTTTAAAATTTTAAGAATAATTTCCCTTGCAGGCTCTATTGGTGCTTAGGTTATCTAGGGAATTCATTCATCCATTCAGTTTCCCAAGCCAGAAAGCTGGGGCTTGGGCAGAATGTGTCCTTCCAACTTGCCCTCTTTTGCTAACTGGCCACCAAGTGGTGTTGATTTCAGAGCTCAATTATTTTTAAAATCTGCCTCCTTGTCTCCTTATGTCTGCCACTGCTTTATTTCCAACACTCATCACTTACAGCTTAGACTTCACACCACTTTAATGTGTTCTCTGTAGTGACGTCAGAGTAATCTTTCTAGAATGCAAATCTAATCTTGTCACTCTTCTTCAGGATAAAGTTCAAACTCATTAACTTGACATAAAGATTCCCTGTGATTTGGTTTCAGACCCCCTCCTGAATTTTATTTCCTGATCCTCTCCCACATTCTCTCTTGTGCCATCAGACATAACAAGCCAGCAACCCTCTTCTTGCAATGTCCTTTCATACCTCTTTATCTCCTCACAGTGAAAACCCCAGCTCTGCTACTTTCTTGTGTGTGCCTTTGGGTTCATGCCTTACCTTCTCTAAGTCTCAGTACTATCATCTATAAAGTAAGGATAAATATAGGATATGATTGATACAGTTGCTTTGACAAATATGAGATAATACATGTGAAATACGTGGATGGGTGTCTGAAATACGGAGAATGCTTTATCAGTGCTTATTCTCTCCATGTGCTCTTCCCTCTGTCTTCCCTCCCACATTCTTTGCATGGCTAACTCTTCCTCTCCTGCAAGAATCAATGAAGATGTTAACTTCTTGGGAAGCTTTCATTCCACCCCTAGGTTGATCTTAACGCTTTCTTTTTGTGTTTCTACATACCCAGTGCCATTGCACTGATCCAACTTTTTGTTTCATTGTTGCTTTGTCAAGCTCAATCTCTCTCTCTTAATTTAGTTCTTATTGTATCTTCAGTCCCTAGCATTTACATAGCCCATTAGTATATTGAGAGAATGTTTTTTAAGTGAATGAATGCATTCGGCATAACCAAATAAAACTGAAGACTGTCTACACCTGTAGCTTAATTTAATTGTATTTTTATGTTCTCAAAGTAGATGAAATCAGTCAATGCCCAACAGAATTAAACAAAACGTGATTCACTAATTCTTCTCTTCTTTTGTGACTTTACCTGGTATTTAAATGAAAATTAGGCTGAGGCAGGAAGATCACTTGAGGCCAGGAGTTCAACACCAGCCTGGGCAATATAGCAAGACTCCCTGTCTACAAAAAATTTAAAAATTGGCTGGGTGTAGTGGTGCACACCTGCAATCCCAGCCACTTGGGAGGCTGAAGCAGAAGGACTGCTTGAGCCCAGGAGTTCAAAGCTGCAGTGAGCTGTGATTGCACTGCTGCACCCCAGGCTGGGTGGCAGAACAAGACCCTGTCAAAAACAACTCTAGTACTGCTTGGCTAAAATCAGAATTGCCCCATTTCATCCATTCTGAGATGAACTCTTTTTTTTTCACATTATACTATCTCTGAACTGAGAATACATCTTGTAGTTGATGGAATTTTATCATCTCTGTTGGCCAAATTTATATTACACAGTAATTGTCACTGTGAAAGTACAAATTGTTATTCCTGATGGCCAACTGGAAAATTGAAACCTCCTAATAATCTGGTAAATATACCATTTAAAGACTATTGTAAATATGTGATTACTGATTGTTCACTACATACTTTTATTGATTTTTTTGATAAGATTAAGAAAGCTCCAGCATCAAAACTTAGTGAAAGAGTTTGTAACTTCTAACTTAATAACTGATTTAGACAGAGGGCATTAGTGAGTGCTAAAAGCATTGAGTAATATGTTTATGAAGGAATGGAACACTGATAAGGTCTTAGAGCATCTCTCAATAGATACTTATTAATTTATATTAAATGACTAATTAATATAAATAAATTGAGATTAATCATCTAATTAATCAAGAGATTAAGCTTACCAGTATCAACAGTGGAACAAACTAATACTAGTTGCCTCCTGATGTTATGCAATTAGACATATACAACATCACCTATGTAACATTCTGCCAAAAATCTTTAACCTAAATATAGCCATGAGAAACCTGCAAACAAACCCATAATGTGAGACATTCTACAAAAAGGCAGGCATGGACTTCCTGACAAAATCAATGGCATACACACATACACACACACACACACACACACACACACACACACACACACACACACACTATGAGAAACTACCCCAGGCGAGAAAAGACTCAGAGATATAATAATCAACTTGATTGGAAGTTGGATTGGGGAGCAGAAAGCCACCAAAACCATTGTGAAACAACTGGGGAAGCTTTAATATGGATTTCATGTACTACTGGTTTCATGTAAATATTCTTAGGGAGGATAATGGTGTTGTGGTTATGTTGGATAATATTCTCATCATCAAGGATGCACACTAAAATATTTAGGAATGATGTGCCTTGGTGTCTGTAAGTGTATTTTCAAATGGTTCATCAAACTTTAAGTGGAAAGAGAAAGGTAAAGCAACTGTGCAATATGTGCAACATACTGAAGTTGATAGGTATGCATTGTATAATTCCCTTAACTTTCCTGTAGGATTGCTAATTTTCAACATGAAAAGCTGGGGAAAAGTAATATTATACATGTAGAACACACACACACAGATACATGCACATGGACTTGAATGCTGTCAGGAGCTTGAAAGAAAATCTTGTAGACAGTGGTGGAACACTCTTGTGTCACCAAAGCCCTTCATGATAGTGAGGCTTGGCATTGTGTATAGAATCACAGACAACTAATCTTTTTCTTCTTTTTTGAGACGGAGTTGTCCATCCATGTATTTTACATGTATTATCTCATGATTGTCAGAGCAAACCTATCGATCATGTCGCCCAGGATGGAGTGTAATGGTGCAATCTTGGCACATTGCAACCTCTGACTCCCTAGTTCAAGCGATTCTCCTGACTCAGCCTCCCAAGTAGCTGGGACTACAAGCACGTGCAACCACGCCCAGCTAATTTTTCTATTTTTAGTAGAGATGGGGTTTCACCATGTTGGCCAGGATGGTCCCAATCTCCTGACCTCATGATCCGTCTGCCTCGGCCCCTCAAAGTGCTGGGATTACAGGCATGAGCCACCACGCCTGGCCGACAACAACTCTTAACCAGAGTAGAAGGTGAAAAAATTTTAGAAATACATTTTTACAAAGTATTTTGAAGTTACAAACCCATTCACAAATTTATTGTTTCTATTTTCATTTTTATATAAAAAGTGTTATATGATAAAAAAAATCTAATCCTAAAAGAGCTTTTAATGAAATAAAATATAAATAGAATAAAATAAAATAAAAAGGTATGAGAGAGCATTTTCAATAGTTTAATTGGAAAAGGTTCCTTCTTAGTAATGCATAAAATAATGGTATATCTTGTAGTGACAGCAGCTTAGATTGAATAAAATTTGGTCAAATATCTGCAATATACAGTTCTTCTTGTGTTTATTTGTGTATGGAGTAGTGAACTCATGAGTGTCATATAACAACAGAGAAGAATATTATTTTGCAGAATGAATTGGTGGTAAGAGTGTTAATAATACCATTAACAGTATAAACTGAAAAATTGTTATGAAATTATACGCCAGGGAATATCCATGTGCATTGGAAATTGTGGTAATTTTTATTGGGAATGAGGCAAAATAATTAGCAAAAACAAAACAAGAAAGAAGAAAAAAACTATAATAGAAACTAGCCCACAATTTCTTGTATTTAACATTTTATTATGAACATTTAACACATGCACGTTAGCAGAAAAAATAGAGCAGTTTATCCCCGAGTACTTAATCTAGATTTGATAATTACTAATATTAGTCTGATGTCCATATCTTTTGAAATGGTCAAAGAATGGGATGTATTTATAGACAGAGTGTACGATTAGCAGACTTCTTGAAGTTTCTTCTGGATCTAAGATTTTTAAATTTGTTACCTTGGTGAACATTGAATGCATATGTATATATGTATTCATTCACATATGTATGCATGCATACATATACAGAGTACTATGTATATGTATTCATTCACACAGGTATGCATGCATATAGAGAGAGAGATGTAGATGGAGATGCATGTTTATAAACACATACATACCTATGTGTGCATATACGTATGTTTGCATTTGTATTCTGTGGGGCCAATTTTATTGTGAGGAAGTGAAGACTAGATAGAGGATTCAGGGAGCTACCTTAGATGTAAGATTATGACTATTCTAAGTGCTTTTGTTCTTAAATTTCCTAAAATCACATCCAGGGAAAGATAATTCTATTTTTGACACTTTGAGGACCTTCCAGACTGTTTTCCTGAATGGCTGTCCCAATTTACATTCCCCCCAGCAGTGAACAAGGGATCCCTTTTCTCCAAGTGCTGGCCAACCCCTGCTGTCTTTTGTCTTTTCGAGAATAGCTATTCTGATAGGTGTGATGTGATATCTTACCATGGGTTTGATCGGCATTTCCCTGATGATTAGTGACATTAGCACCTTTTCATATACCTGTGGGCCATTTACAAGTCTTCTTATGAGACATCTCTATTCAGGGCCTTAGCCCACTTTTAAAAACTGGGTTTGGGGTTTTTGCTATTGAATTGTTTGAGTTTCTTATATATTTTGGATATTAGCTTCTTATCAGATATATGGTTTGCAAATATTCTGTCCTATTCAGTGTGACACAGAAATTTCACTACTGACTATATATTCAAAGAAATGGAAACTAGTGTCTTGACGAGGTATCTGAACTCATGTTTATTACAGCACTATTTACAATAGCCAAGCTACCAGTTCAACCTAAGAGCCCATTGGCAGATGATTGGATACAGAAAATGTGGCAGACATATACAATGGGATGTTACCAGCCTTAAAAAGAAGGAAATCCTGCCATTTGTGACAACATGAGTGAAACTGGAGGACATTACGCTAAGTGAAATAAGCCAGGCACAGAAAGATAAATACTATAAGGTCTCACTTATATTATATGTGGAATCTAGAAATGTCAAAGTCATAAAAGCAGAGAGTAGAATGGTGGTTGCCATGCAGGGGAGATGTTGGTAAAAGGTCACAAAAAGTCAGTTACGTGGGATGAATAAGTTTGGAGATCTAGTATATAGCATGACAACTGTAGTTAACAATACTATATTGTATACTTAAAATTTGGCAGAAGAGTTGTTCTTAAATGTTCTCACCGTATGCACACAAAAATCATAACTATGTGAGGTAACAGATATGTTTATTAGCTTAATTGTGGTAATAATTTCACAGTGTACACATAAATCCAAACGTCACACTGTATTCCTTAAGTATATGCAATTTTTACTTCTCAATTATACCTCAGTAAAACTGGCAAAAAAAAGCAGCAAAGTTAATTCAGACAAAATCTCACAGTAAAAAAGAAAATTATTTAAATGAGTATATATAAAAATGGAAACTGCTTTCCAGATACAGTTTGAATATCTAAAATAAGTACAAGTTATGATTCTTTGCTTGAAAATTAAAAATTCTGAATAAACCCATCATACAGTTGAATAATTTTACTCTGAATTGATTTACCAGTTTTCACCTACTGTTCCACTCCTAATTCTTTTCATATTTTCTTCTCATCTTCTGATTCCCATTGCAGGTTTTCTATAAATTTAATTCTGGTTATCTGGATTTTTATTCTTGCCATATATATGTATGTACCATGCAGGCGGAGCTGAAACCTTGCAATTGGAATATGTATATCCATCTATCTTCAGCTCTGCCTGTGTACCATGCTCTATTTGGTTAGTATGCATTCTTCCATCTCTAAGGAATTATTGATTTGGATGTAGCTGGGCTACTCCAATGTGAGTCAGTTTGAAAATGCTATTTTTATTCAGATTAAAGAATTTGGGATTCAACAAGTCAATAGCATATGGAGGATGTCAAACTGTTTCAGTCCCTAAGCAGTGTTTGCAGATACCCTGGGGTGTGGGATAAACTGTGTATGGATTATTCAGGTTTGACTGCATAGCACTCTATTTTAATTCCATTTTACGTTAATAGCAATGCAGAATGTGTAAGAGCAGCAAGTCAATTGAACTACAAGGGATGCATTGAATCATTGATTTTGAACACTGCAGTCATAGTGCTTTGCAAGAAATAAAATATTGATTAAAACAAACTAAAGTGATTTTTCTCTACTTTCTTTATTTAAAGGTATTTTATTTAACATTTGGATTTTACTAGTTAGTAGTGGCATGCAATAAATATGAGGAATATTTGAGACTATTTAGAGATCATCCAATGACTATCAGTAAGAATCTAAGAGACTTACTATTATTTCAAAATTGACTTTTTCTAAAAGTTCGGCTTTCTATTGATGGGTTGTACAGAAATAATTTCCCTATTGATAGTTATTTGGCTCTGATCCTTGGCAGAGAGTGGAATTCTGTTAAGATTACATTAAAAACAATTTTTAAAAACTGTCACATAGAATCACTTACAAATGGCAATTTTTTTTGACAGTTTCATAATGTAATGAAAGCGGTTGGTCATTAACAGTGTTCACATAACAGAGATACACATCTCTAAAGTGCATAGCTTTAAAATTAAATGGAAATGTTGAGAATAAGCAGACACTACCAAAATAATTCCAAGTATTTTAGAGAAGTTGAACAAAGGTTAAGGCTCCCAAATCATTTCAGAAATGATAGTTTCCTCTTGGCCCAATTAGGGAACCTGAACGTGGTTATGTTGTTGTGGTTCTCAGGACCCTAATTGCACATAAAATCTCCTTCCAAATCATAACACATGTGCTATTTCTAAGTCTCTTTCCATTATAAACAAAAGGCGAATTATTAAAATGTGGTGAGATTTCATGCAGAATTGGCAGTCAGCTTAGAGGGCAATAATTTAACACTTGCACTGCGAAATTAAAATTTACCTCCACTCATTCTAATTCCACTGACCGGCAGCAGGCAGTTGTATTTTTATTTTACTTTATTTTTATGAGAGCAGAGAGATTTAATTACTTCAGTTTAAACAGAATGGCCTACCATTGCCTGTTGACAGGGCTCTGGTGCAGGCAAATTATGGCAGATAATGTGACGGGTCCAAAGACCTTCCTGAGGTACACCAAGGTCTCTGCTCTGAGCTGAGCTACAAAGAGGGCCTGGAGGGAGTGGCTCTGGGTCTCCTGACAAACACTCATCCTCTTGCTAAAAAGGAAGGCACTCTGAGAGCCAGATTTGCTGCTTAAATCTGCAGCCTCTGTAGACTCTTCTCTTCTCTATTGTAAATTATTGCTTTTGATGGAAGACAAAGTTTTGTGCCTTTTCTTTGTTTATACAGAGTAATAATAAGGCTAAAGTGTAATTTCCTCTAAAATGAGAAGTATGAACAGCTAAATTTACTTTTTTTGTTATAGGAGATAAATCATAGCTTATCTTTATTTAGGGTAGGAATGGTCAAACTCCTCCCCTGCCCCTAAACAAACAGTTATAGTGGTATATTTTAAATATTCCTTTTCCCCCGTGGCTGTCCCTGGAGCAGTCAATACTGTCATGGTCCCAGCTAAACAATGAGTCCAGATTTCACTGCTGGACACAATTCAGATTACTATGTCTCAGTAGAAAAATATGGAAAGAATTACAATGACCGCAAGCATTTGCTATAAAACCACACATTTAAAAAAAAAAACCTTTTAAAGCGTAAAAGCTAAATATCTTTACACATTTACAACTTAAATGCCCAATGCTGTTAAGAAATAGTACAGATGAGGAACGCAGTTTCCTTCTATTTGAAGCAATTGATGTTTCATTGCTGTATAACTATTCGGTTGCTTAAAAGATACCTCCAAGTCCAGCTTCATGGGCTGTGACTTGTACAGTCACTCGGGGCCCCACACTTTGTCCTTGCACTTGGTTTGATGCTCTGCTGTCACTGTCTTAGAATTCTTTTAATTTTCAGACAAGGAGCCCTTCATTTTCATTTTGCACTGGGGCCTGTCCTGGGTATCCCTAATTGTACATAAGCTGGTGCTGTGGCTCACAGGCTTACATTTTGTCTTCTCTTTCCTCCAAGTGTGTTGTATGGTTCTTGTCTGGGTTATGGGGTTTAGCCTATTTTTACCTTTCTGCACTGCTTCTTATGTTCCATTTTCACCGTGTTTAGATTAGAGCAGACATGAACTTCCTGTGTCTCAGCGCCGGCCATGAATCAGGCTGGGAGCTGGGACCACAGGGCTGTCAGGGGAGCTGCCTGGATCCAGCTTTAAAATAACAAGTGCTTGACAGCTTCGTTTACATAACTGCAAAATTGTGGCTATATTCTACAATGCAGTTACATGTGACATAATAACTAGGGCCTTAATTTATTTAGACCTTTTCCTTGCAATATAATTTCCAATAAATACATCTCCCAGGGGCAGGAAGACATGGCATTTCACAGTGCTCATATTTTCCTCCCTGAATTTGGACCTGCTTTTTTTTTTTCTTGATAGTTAACAAAATGAACACTACACCTCGTAATTTTACATTTACCCTACTTGTCACAGCCTATGTGCAGGGCTTTTGAGAATAAATGGAGTGCTCGTGGAGTGCGGTTAGAACACGTTTCATTTCATTTTTAAAGTTTTCTTTCTTTTTTTTCTAATAATTTTTTCCTAAGTATCCAAAGTAGCACTAATAATTTGCTAGAGTGCAATAGAAATCAAAAATTTTCTTTAAGGCACTACAACAATGTACAGAAAATTAAGTTTAGTTTGTATATGCACTTTTAAAGTTATTTTTTAAATTTGAGGTTTCGGTTGATAACGTCTAAATGAAAAAAGAGGAAGGTGAAAGTAAATAGTGGAAAACATCCCCTTCCCTCCAGAGGAAAGAACAGTCATTGTCTTGTTATTATTTAATATTTATCTAAGGGAAGAGACATCTAGGGCCAAGCACAATGGATGAAATTGTGCCAAAGATGAATACAATCTCTGCCTCGAGGTGCTTTCTGCTTAGGCTTGGGTCAAGAGTGCGGCCAAGGGAAGGAAGTGAGCTGAAGAATCTAGAATTCCGCTGGGTGCTGAGTGCCAAGCCACCTGCGGGTTTGGAACAATGGCTTTGGCTGGGAAGTATTGGAGAAATTCTTCTGAAAGGTTGGAAAGCTGATGGTAAGACTTGAAGGACAACAGTTGTGATGTGTGTGCACTTATGATCAGTACACAAGGATGAAGTTGTTGTTAATGTTGTACAAGTGCTGATTAAATAGGTAAGATGTTCTTCAGACATTGAGAAAGAGATTCTGTGGATAACCATGAAGATCTTCAGCAGAAACCTCACCATGGCTGGCTTCGATGAACCAGGCTGCAGCTCCCAATCTGGTGGGTGGTGCAGGACATCAGTGAATATGATAAGAGTCAACATTTCTCTACAAATGGGAACTCTGAGAAATCACCTTCTTCCCAAATTATAACCTTGAGGATTTTATAGGAAATAGGCTATATCTGGCTGAATAAAATTTGCCTTTTCTTCTCTCTGCATTCACAACTGCTTAAAATATATAATGGGTAAACATTTTGATGGTGGAGAGAGAAATAAACCCATACACATATACATATAAATGTGCAGCTTCTTTTGTGTGTATTTTATTTTTATTGGAGATCTTAATAATCAGTCAGCACAAGATTTCTTATGATGCCAACCAATATAGAAAGGAAATTGTATAAAAGAGAAAATTTTTGTAACTTTTTTTATGGACAACTGTCCATGAGAGAAAATCAAAAAGTAATGTAGGAAGAGCAATCAGTTCAACACCAAGGGTTGGATACTTGGCAATGCTCAATACATTCTTAAAGAATCATTCATTTTAAGTGAGAGTCACTTCTTTTTTGCTTCTAGTTCTTAAAGTAGCTCCTCATCTTGTTGTGGGTATACTATTCAGCAAGCAGTAACAGACACCATCTTTTAAAGGTTCTAATTTTCCTCTCTGATTTTTTTTTCTTGCATAGTGTATAGTACCAGCATATACAGTTTCTGAGTGCATGAAAAATCGTCAAAAAAGATACAGGTAGAACAGAAAGCCCAGAAATAAACCCTGCTGTAATTGCAAATGTTTTTCAATGAGGGTGCCAAGACCTTTCAATGAGGCAAGGATAGTCATTTCAGCAAATGGTACTGAGAAAACTGGATATCAAAGTGCAAAGAATAAGGTTGCACTGTTACCGTACATTATATACAAAAATTAGCTCAAAATAGGTAACAAATCTAAACCTAAAACTGTAAAACTCTTAGAAGAAGACATAGAAGAAAAACTTTATGACATTGGATTTGGCAATCATTTCTTTGTTATGGCAACAAAAGTACATGTAACAACAAAAACAAAATAGATATACTGATGTATTAGTCTTTTTTCACACTGCTGATAAAGACATACCCAAGACTTGGAAGAAAAAGAGGTTTAATTGGACTTAACAGTTCCACATGGCTGGGGAGACCTCAGAGTCATGGCAGGAGGCAAAAGGGCACTTCTTACATGACGGTGGCAAGGGAAAAATGTGGAGGAAGCAAAAGCAGAAACCTTTGATAAACCCATCAGATCTCATGAGACTTATTCACTATCATGAGAATAGCATGGGAAAGACCGTCCCCCATGATTCAATTACCTCCCCTTGAGTCCCTCCCACAGCACATGGGAATTCTGGGAGATACAATTCAAGTTAAGATTTGGGTAGGGACACAGCAAAACCAACTGAACTTAACCAAAATTTAAAATTTTGTGTATCAAAGATCACTATCAAGAGGATGAAAAGACAATCCACAGAATGGAAGATAATATTTTCAAATCATATATATATAGTAAGATATTAATATCCAGCATATATAAAGAACTTCTACAACTCAACAGCAACAATAAAACAAATAACTCAATTGAAAAAATGGGCAAACTATCTGAATACATGTTTCTCCAAAGAAGATAAAAAAATGGTCAGGTGCAGTGGCTTGCACCTGTAATCGCAGCTACTCAGGAAACTGAGGTGGAAGGATCACCTGAGGGAAGGATTTTGAGACCATCTTGGACAACATAGGGAAACCTCCCATCTCTAAAAAGAATAAAAAATTAAAAAACAAAAATAAAAAAGAAGATATAAAAATGGCCGATATGTACATGAAAATGTATTCAATATCACTGGCCACAAGTGAAATGCAAATCAAAATCACAATGATACATGTCTTGACATCTATAAGGATGGCTATGTTAAAAAAAATTGGAAATAAAAAGTGTTGGTGGGGATGCGGGGAAATTAAAACTCCTGTATATTGATGGTGGGAATGTAAAATATTTCAGCCACTGTAAAAAACAATATGGCACTTCTTCACAATGTTAAACATAGAAATACTAGAGGGTCCAGCAATTCCACTATTAGCCATATGTCCCAAATAGTGGAAAGCAGGGATTCAAACAGATACTTAAACACCAGTGTTTACAGCAGCATTATTCACAACAGCCAAAAGGTGGAAACAACCCAAATGTCTATCCACAGATGACAAAAATACACAAACATACAATAGAATGTTATTCAGCCTTAACAAGGAATGAAATGCTGACATATGTTGCCACATGGATGAAACTTGGAGACATTATACTAAGTGACATAAGCCAGACACAAAAGGAAAAATATTGTGTGATTTCAGTTATATAATGTACCTAGAAGAGGCAAATTCATAGAAACAAAGCAGAGTGGTGGCTGCCAGCAGCTGAGGGAGAGGAGAAAATGAGGAGCTGTTGTTTAATGGGTAAAAAATTTCAGTTTGAGATGATGACAAAGTTCTGGAGATGGATGAATGCCACTGGATTGGATAATTTAAAAGGTATCAAGAAGACTTTCTAAAATGTAAGAAAGGATACACAGGACATTTTTTGGAGACATTTGTTTTTTCTTGCTTTGGCAGCTCATGCTTATCGATTCACTTTTTATTGTTGTGAGTTGGGGATTGGAGCTGCATATTGACTATGAGACTAGGCTACCTGCTGTAACCATATTGACTGTATTGACTCACTTAACAGTCAATAACCTACATTAAAAATAAAGTAGGTCCAGATAAATAATTAATTTGCACACTTAAACATAGACTGCAGATTTTGACTATAATTTTAGAACCAGTTAAATCTGTCTCCTAAAACTTTATATTCTGCTACTATTATCTCCCCATCACAATTGTCAAAACAATTAGATCCTCAACAACACTGTAGGTAGACATCAAGCTAGAGAAGACTTGCATGTATGAAACGAGTTGATTCTAGGTATGTGGGTGTCATATCTCCCCAAGGTGACAGTGACTGTCCTGAGGGGGCACGTGGCAGCACTCTGGATCCCTCACAAAGCTCATCATAGTGACATATTCCTTACGTGTTCATTCCCCCACCCTTTACTGAATAATTTTTCTGTTTGAGGTGTTGGATGCAGGGTACAAAACCAAAAATGAAAAATTAATACCAAAGCCAAAACAACATCCCTTACTTTACTGGCAGAGACAAACAATTACAGTCCTATTGATCCTTGAGTAGGGACAAATATGAACTGGAGAGACTTGTTCAATCTAGAATATTTGAGTAATAGTTTTCTTGGGGGATATACTTCCCAGATGGCTCCCAAAAGATGAGTAAAAGGAGCCAGACAAGGGAGGGCAATGAAATGAAGCCAAAGAAAAGTCATGGTTCTCCGGGCCCATGGGAAAAGCCAGCCTAAGAGCTGGAAGTACACAGCTTGCCTCCACATTTCTGCTTTCCACCATACCCATGTTTCATCAAACATCTCTTTTGAGTAGCCTGATGAAACACAGCTACTGAGCACACATTCCATATAAGAGCGTTGCAAAATTTACCTTCAAAAGTTGTTAATTAAAATCGACAACAGAGCCTGCCCTTCACCCTCCCTCCTCCTCATATAATTCCTGCTCTACCTGTGCTTTCTGTGATTTGCAGAGCCACCTGGTTACATGTGACCAAGCAGAGTAGGGAAAGAAGAAGGAAGCAAAGACCAATAATCATGGATGAATGGACAAGTCAGAAAATCCCTTGAGTTGTGTGTGATTTGTAATTATAATATTTTCTCCTGGGGCCTTAGTGACCCGGGCCATATTTTTTATTTACTAATTATTTTTTCACTACATGCTTCCCAAATAACCAAGTTGTCTCTTTCTACAGAGAGGGGAATCTGGATCTAACTGTAAATAAATTAATATTTACCTGGATCTGAGTGGACAGCTTCATTTAACAACACATGAATATGCTCCTCCCATAATTAAAGGCCTTCAATTATGAATGTTATGTTTCATGGCATAAATCTCATTGAAAAGTAACTTAAAGCAATTTAAAGTATGGATGGGCTCTGATGAAGAGTTTTTTAGAGAGGCTGTGATATTTTTATAATGCAGGGTTCCAGGAATAGTTGTGAAATTTACATGTCATTATTTTGAAGAAGGTATATGGCCTGAAAATAAGTAGAAATTAGCTGATGAAGCTGATACACAATATGAATAAAATGAGGACACCAAAATAAACATGGTCCTTGAGCTCCTGGAATAAAATGTCATGTGCCTTTTATTTTTGACTGTTTATTCAATAAATGTTAGTTGAGTACTGTGCTATGTGCAAACATGAATGAGATACACCTTGGATTCATACAGTGTGGGGTGGGGAGAGACACCAATATTGATATAGACAGTACAGTATGGGAAGACTGAAATGTACAAAGCGCTTACAAGAAGACAAAGCTACTTTGGTAAGTAACCCAAAGGAGACTATTCCAAGGATATGACATGTAAGCTAAATGATTAGACATTTCTAAGGAAAGAAGGAAAATATACTGTAGGCAGGAGGAAGTGGATCTCAGTGTCACCATTAAGAAGCTAGAGCAGTTTTGCCTTAAGAACACTGATGTGGAGGACAGTGATGATGACTGCGGTAGTTAATGTTTACTGGTCATTTCCTTCCTATATGGGCATGCACAGCTCAAAGGATTTCACATGTATTACCTTTTAAAAATCCTCACAATACCTCTGTGAAATAGAGACTTGCGACAGTTTTTTATTGCTGTATATCCCAAAACTTGGTGGCTTAAAACAACCACCAATTATTTAGTGCCTGATTCTCTGTGGGTTGGCAATTCAAGCTCAAGTTCACTGTGAGGAGGAGGCTTCATCCGGACTCCCTCATGAGTCCGTGGTCAGCTGCTGTCCAGCTGGGGTGCTGGCTGGTCTAGAGTGGCCTCAGCTATATTAGCTTTTTTGGTTCCCTGTGGTGTCTCCTTGGTAACATCCCATCTTAAGCTTTCTAAAAGCAGGAGTGGAAGCACACGAGATCCTTGATGTCTGGGTTCAGAATTGGCCACAACTTCTGTTGCATTTCTGTTGCCTACAGCAAGTCACAAGTCACAGGACAGCCCAGATTCAGGAAAGGGAAAGCAGACTGCACCTTGTGATGGAGGAGTTGTGAAGTCACATTACAGCAAGACATAGATCCAGGAAGACTATTGTGTTCATTTTCACAAATCATCTTCCATCATACTATTATTACTTCCACTTTATAGATGAAGACACGGGAGCATAGGCTGAAAGACTGTAAAGTATGTGAGCCAGGACTTAACTGTTTGAGCTGCCTGACATCAGAACCTGGGGTCTGCTCTACTGCCTCTCCCTAACAATATTAACAATGCTTTTTCATCGTTCTCTAAATTGTGCTACATTCAGGTGAACTCTTCTAACCTGAGATTTTCCCTTCTCATGAATGAAATAATGCCTACCCTGACATTTTAGGTTGGTATGAAGCTAGTTCCAAAGTTTGTGTTTGTGACAGCAGACTAATTGTCCTATCTATCAACTAGAGTAACAAACCACCACCTAGCATTATAGAGTCATGAAGTTTAAGAGTCCAGTCATGGAGAGATTGTAATGTCCTAGATCTAAATAGGGAGATGTGTTTGTTAGTACACTTAAGATTTATACATTTCAGTGATTGTCAATTTTACCTAAGAAGAAAACAAAATAACTGTAAACAAATAATAAACTCTGAGGCTATGCAGAATACACTGGGGAAGTGTACTGATGTCTGTTACTTTGGAATAAATTTTAAAAATGATATGGGCTAATGAATGGATAGAGGGATGGATAATGGGTAGATATGTGATAAACCAAATACCATATAATTGGAGAATCCAGATGGCTAAGATTCCCTCTAAAGTTTCTTTATGGTAAAATCTTGGAGAACAAAAGTTTAAGCTCTGGAGTCTTGAAACTAACTTTAAAAGTAGGCTAGTGGTTTGAAACTCCCTAGTTGTGTGATCTGGAGAAATTTCGAGAATGTTCTCAAACCTCAGTTCTTCCACTTGAAAACTGGAAGAGATATTGACATCTAATCTATAAACTGTGGGATAAATAAACATGAGAGTTAATTAAACATGAATACCTAAAGAGCTCTTCACATTGTCTGTCAGACCCATTGCTAAGCACTTTATACATAAATGCTCTACAGTGAGTGTTCACAAATAGTAACTACCATGAAATGATGGAGAACATGCCTGGAGTCCTTATCAGTTGTGAAAGTTTTCTACCAGAATATCTATAATAAATCTTCCCTGATTCATTCTTCCTAAAAAATAATAATTATATTGAACGAATACTCATGCATATTCTTACTGAACTCTTAGTTCTTTGATCATTGATTTTAGAATGAGAAGATATCTTACATGGCCAATACATTATCTGTTGTAAAGAAAGTGTTCACAAGATACAGAGTAACTTCTAGTGTTAATAATTTAAAAGCAATTTTTTAGGAGTTATTGTATAGCAAGATGAAAAGACGTTTATCAGAATCTCATTTAAACCATTTAATAAAAAGGAATACAAAGTATCTAAATTCAGATATTATTTGGTTTCTTTCTGAGGTCATGAAAATTTGCCTTCGGTGATAGCTGAATGTGTCTGTGCATATGTGCACATACAGTAAAAGGCATTGAACTGCACATTTCACATGATAGAATAGTATGACATGTGACTTCTATCTCAACAAAGATGTGACAAAAAAGTGTTCAGCTAAGCGTACAATGTAGTGAACACTATCTTTCTTTCTTTATCTCTCTCTTTCTCTCTCTCTCCCTTTCTCTCTCTCCCTTTCTTTCCTTTTTTGAAACAGGGTCTCACTTTGTCGCCCAGGCTGGAGTGCAGTAGTGCAATCTCAGCTCACTGCAGCCTCGACTTCCCAGGTTCAAGTGATCCTCCTGCCTCAGCCTCCCAAGTAGCTAGGACCACAGGCATGCACCACCGTGCCCAGCCCCACATGTTTCTTCTTAAACATATATTCCTACAAATACAGCATGTGTCTGTGGGATTCACATTTAAAAGCAGTATTTTAAAGGAGACAATTTTTTCTCTAAGAAAATATATTTTTCTGAGTTTAATCTACTATTTTAATACTTTATCATTTTGGATTAATTTATAAGATTACTATAAATTTCTAAAAGATTTCCTGTGAAATATAACATTTATCTGTACGCATTAAAATGGAGATATAGGAATTGGAAATTCCCAGCCAGTGAAAAGGGCTTTTTGAAGTGACTGTTTTTAAACTAAAGTCAAAGAGGCAACCCCCTAAATCATGGTAACTTTAAATATAAAAAACAATTTATAGTATTTTAATGTATCAATCTATTAACTGTGTTGGCTGAAAATATGTTTTTTAACTAAAAATTTTAGTTTTTTAAAACTAAAATTTAGTTTTCTTGCTTTTTCGTATCATACCTCAAAAGTATTTATTTTCACAAATATTTATTTTAATAAAGATAAACAAAGAAACCCTGAGAAGGGAGAAAGCCCAGAGCTAAGATAAAATCAAATGTGGTTAAATTATTAAAATATTCTACAGTAAAGTGGCTGCAACTGCAAGGAGGAAGGGGAAAAGGAAAATTTCTGCAAAATTCATCAGCATTAAGTGAGTCTACAAATATCACAGGATCAGTACCCCAGACAGTCAGTTTGACCTCTAGTCTTTACCCTGGTAAATCTTTTCCAAGTTTTTCTGAGTGATGTCAATGCAAAGTTTTCCCAAACTTCCTGGAAATTTTACAAGCAATTCACCAGAGATACAAAAAAATATCTGGGGCCTTAGCCAACAGCATTCCTCTATGAATACTGACTCTTGATTTGCTTTTTATTTTTCTTAATTGGGGTTGAGCAATTTTAGAGATTTACAGTTAAGGAGACAAGCGAATTATGAAACTTAACAAATTAAAATATGAAAATGTTCATCATTTCTAGCCCCACTCTGGACATGATTTTTTTTTTTTTTTTATGTAGTAAGAGGCCAGATTTTTCACACAAGCATCCGTTTAATTAACTGTAGTGTATAATAAATTCTCAGATTAAATCTTACTGGAATTTATTAAGTGACTGTTTCACCCCAATAGGTTAATGAGCAAACCATTATTAATGTTGCTTCAGAAAAAAGGGCACGTTTCCTAAACTGAGAGGAAAGAAGGCAAAAGAAAAACTCAAGCCTTCTTTTTCTCCAAAATGTATTTCTTTTTATTGTCAACATTGTATTCATTGGTTGTTCTTTTTGTGTCCTCTAATTCCATTATCTGGACATGTCTCAGTGCGAGTACCAAATAGGAGATCAGCTAAGCATTTGCTGCACCTCAGACAAAATCTCATTCTGGGTTATTAGACAGTGTCTGATGCTGCCGACTTCTTCTCGCCAGCTTAGCAAGCACAGCCTCTGGGAGAGGCTTTTTTTGGGGAAAGATCGCTCAGGAAAAATGCGTGTGCTTCTTGACGAGCCATTCTAGGTTGGGTGTCCCTGAAAGTATATGGGGGTGGTGTCCCTTTAAGCACAAGGAAAGGGCAGGTCCTGCTGTTATCCTTGACCCTCTGACAAAATAGTCAGACGCTGTTTGTAAAAGAGCCAAGTAATTAAAAGTATCCCAGGGTTATGGTGAAATAGGGCAAGTAAAATACGCTCCTGGATACCAGCGCTCTTTCAGGACCAGCTCTTTTGTATTTCCTCTCTATTTTGTTTTCTCCTTTATTTCAATTTTTCATGGCACAGTTTCCTCTCTCCCACATTGTTCTTCTTTGCCTGTCAGTTGGTAAAATGATAAGTACCCTTATTACTGCTCGTCTAGCTTGAGGCCTATCTGGAGCTATTTGCTTCTAATCCCCAAGTTACTCTCCAACTCCTAGCTCGATTTGTTTCTCTTAATTTCAGAACAGATTGTTAATCATTAAATGTATTATGAGAGGGTATAGAAATAGATAAGAGTTACACAGGAAAACGATGGGACATTTTCCAGCATTTCATAAGCATTTTTCTTTAGGATGGTGTTTCTAACAGAAGGAAACTTGGGGTGTGCTCCTTGGCTATCTCTAGGTTGACCATACATCTCGTTTAACCCCAAACAGGCTGAGTGGATGCCTGTTGTCCTGGCTTAATCATTAGTGGCATGTTTTTCACTCTCAAAAGTGCTCTGAATTAGAGGGTAGACTGCTCTATCATCCCACCTCTCTCTCATTGGACTGTTGAGTAACTGCTCAGTAAATAGATACATTAGCTTTGCTTTTGTTTAGAGAGTTCACAAAGCCCTTCTCTGGGTCTTCACCATTACTTCTGTTCTTAAATTACTATGAGTACTGTCAGACTTTGGAATGGAAACAATTTGTTACTGTCCAGAGATTCCCCATATCTCTAAATGGCATTAGGAAGCAAATGAATGCTTGGGCTTTGAATCAGGTAGGAGGGTTGGAATCTGCTGTGCCATTCACAAGGTTGTGTGACCTTGGGCAAATCATTTACCTTCTCTAAGCTTAAATTTCCTTATCTGTAATTCACACATAATAATAATTTCTACCCTGGATTATCATAAGGATTAAATAATAGATGATTATAGTTGTATGCTTATATTAATCCACATATCCATCACCCATACAGAAATTTCATTCATTATTCCTTATTTAAGCACAATGCCTGATACTACAACTGGAAGTGGTTTGAAATTATAAGAATATGTTATTTTGCTTAGACAAAATGTTACATTTAAATACGGCAGGGGCAATTAATTAATTTCCTCCAAATTGGGTTCATTCTAAGGCTGGTTCTTCAGGGTTGCAAACTGGCTGCAGCAGTTCAAGGCATCATGTCCACACACAACAACATCCAGAGGCAAAAGAATGTGCTGCCTCTTTCTTGTGTCTTTGAAAGGGAACTTCACGCAGAAGCCTCTCACTACATCTCTCCCTTTTCCTTGGTCTGAATTACATCACATGCCAATGCACTTGTTCATTATTGCTAAAGAAAGAAGGGGAATGAGATCTTCAGGATAAGTTGGCCAACAACGCTCTCCCGCGTGGAGAAAATGGCTTGTCTGATTAAATCAGGGATGTGTGTGCTCGCAGGAGAGTGTGCGTGTGTCCTGGGTAGATGAAGTGTGGGCAGCTGGATATCCAAATTCCAGCCAAGGATGTGACATCAGATTGCTTCATGAATTCTAGAAAGCTCCAGGCCTTTTCACTGTCCTGTGTATAAAATGTGGCATTGGCTTCCTAATAGTATAAGATGTCTTCTACCTTTAATGTTCCGTTTGGTTTGGTTTTCTCAAAACCATTACAGTCCATGGACACCCTTCCTTCTTTCAGAAAGTACTTTTTAGATAATGATGAACTGATGAAAGACACTAGAATGAGTTAGAAGATTTTTGTTCAAACTCAGATCCACTGCTTAGTAATTCTATGACTGTCATTCATTAAAGAAAAAGCTTTTTATAAACGATAAAGAATAATATAAATCCAAATGATCGCTAGAGTCCATTTGACAAAATGCTGGGATTTAAAAAAAAAATTTCTTTTTTTAAAGTTCAGGGTCCCTTTAGAAGGTTAGTTAGCTTGGGGATGTAGAACCCTCAGGATTGTACCTTGAACTTGTTCTCACGTCCGCTCCTTGTTTCTTCTCAGGAGGGGATTATCTACAAGAAGAAAAGTGGGGCTTTTGCTTTATCCCCTAGTCCCAACACACTCACTGTGGACCAATTGTTTTCACACACTAACAAGCGTAACCCTGGAACATGAGGATGTTGACATGACCTGTATACAGTTATGAGACTGGTAAGTAGCAAGGATGTCACCTGCTGTTGCCAAAACCCCGATCCTTCCACTGCTTCTTTGTCATTGTCCTTTAGTGCCCAAGTTTAGACAGGGCCATTGTGAAGTGACCAAATTGTCACCACATTTCCTTGGAAGGCTTCCTATGGCAAGTATGAGGGTGCTCTTTTTCCAGCAAAATAACAGTGAAAGGGGCATGAGGAGTGAGTCTGCGCAGTACCATGTGATCCTGAATCACCATCCTCATCCTCAGGAGACACATGGCAGAAGGACCACTGGGGGGCTGGTGTATGTGTTCAGTAGTCAGCTCTGAGTTCAGGTGTTTTAAGTCCCCGGACCTTGACCCTTGGCTTCCTAGTGTGTGTGTGTGGGAGGTGGGGAGCAGCAGTGGTGGGAGTGGGATATGAGAAACAAGTAGATCTCAGCTTCCTTTCAGGGCTAGTGTTCTAAAATCTTAAGTTGATTGAAAGAGCCACTTCTGCAGAGTTGGTGCAGATGTGGAGACAATTGCACAGGGCAGCATCCCAGCTTCAGACAGCGGGTGACCAAGTGTCAGTTTGTGGAAGGACAGGTGCTGGGGAGCTGGGAACTGCCACCCGTGGATGTCACCGTGGAGGAGCGCCGTGGGCGAGAGGCAGCTGCTGAGAGCTGCACCAGCTGCAGGGAGGCTGCACTCAGGACCACACACTGAGAAGTGCTGCTGGTGCCACCCTGGGGGTCCTAGAACTGGGGCTGTCACAGAGGGCAACAGCTTGAGCTCATGCTAGGGAGTTTCATGACTTCAAGATTTTCAATCTTTAATATCTGTTGTCTTTGTGGACAAAGTGCCCAGATTTTTTTTAATGCTTTGTCTTTCATCTTTCTTTCTTCAGATTTTGAATTCCTATCACTACTTTCATACAATCATAGTGTTCTACTTTTTTTTTTTTTTTTTTTTTTTTTTTTTTTTTGCTATCCTGGTGGGGGAGGGTCTTGAGAAGTGAACCTTGTTAAAAAATTAAACCACATGTATTTATTCAAGAAGCTCCCTGAGAAGGTCAACAAGTTGCAGTCAGCTCTCAGCTGTCACTTTCTTTGTTAATATCGAAGTACTCTGTGTTTTATCCTCTTTCCCATCTTCTGGTCATTTTTCTGCTCATTAGCTACTTGAGCTTGGGGTGGGCAACAAATAAGATGGAATTTTAAACCTGTCAAGTTGAAGTCTGGTTAATAGCCCAGTGGAGGTACAATGGGCGGAGAAGGGAAAATGAATTCTATATTTGAGAGAAATAGTAGCTGCGGTAGAAAAATTAGTCTTGACTTACTTTTCTCTTCCTGATATTAGTGATTGACCATGACACAACCTCCCATATCTGTTATGGTGGAATCAGATTTTTCAAAATATAGAGTCAAAGATACCAGAGCTACAAGAGTCTTCTTCTATCAACCAGACCTCTTGGTTTATAGATGAGGAAATGAAGATCTGACACATAAACAGATCTACTTTCAGCCATTAGAATGGTTGCATTTATTGAATGCTAGTAAGGATTGAGGTCAGTGTTCAAGCCCTAATTTCCCTGGCTCTGACAGCATTTCCACCATGCTATCTTGATCTGCCAAGGGTCACAGTGCTTGTGACAAACCAGGACCCAATTACTAAAGACCACCTAAAGCAAATTTGTTGTTAAGCCTTTCATAAGTTGTACTTTCTTTAGAAGTAAGGAGAGTATTTTTAATCTCTGTATTTCCAGGACCAAACATAGTTTCTGATATGAAGTGCATTCTCATGAAATATTTGGTCATTTAAATGCATATTTTATGTCTTCCTCTGTTAAAGATTGTAAAATCATTTATTAAGATTGCATAATTACATGCACCCAAATTTAGAAATATTCCTATAGTTAGTATTGATTTGATCATCCTTTTGGATGAGATGATTTTGTTACTATGCATGAGGCTATGTGTTCTTGGCTCTCCGTGGTTTATTGTCTTAGTACCAAGGCTACTTAAAGCAGTTCTTTCCCTCCCAGAAGCAGATCCACAGCAAACGTTATTAATACAATATTTTTCCTTTATTTTACTTGTATATCAATATCAAAAAGTATGTAATTGTTGAACACATAAACTGCCCATAACCCTAACACCAAGTTTTTCTTTGGAATTATATTATCATCATGATTTTAGTGTTTAATTGGTATTTCAATGCCATGATATAATAAACTTAATTATTCCACATCATTTCACATGACCCTGTAAGAGGATCAGAGTGGGTAGCAACTGCACAGGCTCTGGAGTCAAAATGCACCTGGCTTCAGAGTTTTGCTCTGCCACATGCAAGTTGTGCAACCTGAAAGAGGCCTCAGTTTTCTCATCTGTAAAAGTAGAGGTTATAATCAGCCTTGCCCCAAGACAAAAATATATAGTTATTTTAAAGATTAGATATATAATCACCATTAAATCCCTGAAACATACATGAAGCACGCTACCTAGTACAGGGCAAACACCTAATAATTGATGAATAAATAATTGGCACTCAATAAATGCTCTTTCTCTACTCTCACTTTCCTGACTTTCCCCAACTTCTTAAAAGGGGAACAATTTGGCTGCAGTAGAACTTGCAAAATAAAATATCACCTTTTTTCTTTCCTTTTCTTTCTCTGCCTCTATGCATGTGGACGCGTGATCTCTCTCCTGTTAGGGATATTAGGAGAGAAAGGACTGGGAAACACATTTTCCATGGAGTCCTCTGTCTATTTGAGCACAGCAGTCTATTCTAGCTGGGCTGGGTGAAAAGGCAGCTCAGCTTCTGGGATTTTTGCTTTTTTGCTGGACCCTAGAGGGAAGAGATGAGTTTTACGTCTGTTACTGGCTGTGGTAACACTCGGCTGGGAAGTTCATGTCCCCGGAAGACACAGGCCTTTTGGCTCCATCACAACAGTGCTTCCTAGGGATGCACAGTCTCACCCTGGAGGCCCCAGTTGCAATATTGGGTGTCACAAATGTGAGAGTGAAAGCAGCTGATAGAAGACACAGAATGCAGAAACTCAAGGCCTTAGTCCCAAACACACTCAAGTTGCATGACCGAAAAAAAAAAAAAAGAGAGAGAGAGAGAGATAGTTGAATGTAATAAGGATGTAATATGCTAACTTCTCAGTGCTTGGCAGAGGCCCCCTCACCAGCTGGGCCACACCAGACATAGAAGAGACCAGACACTGGCTTAGGCTTCCAGAAAGAACAAGTCACAACAACACCCCCTCTGGCATCTCCCCCAAAGCCTGACTGGTTTTTAATGGGGATCACCTGGGGTTTTAGTTGAATGTAGTCAGAGTGTTGAACATCTAATCTGCCTTTGAGAAAGAGTATCCTGCATTTCGAAGGGAAGGAAGTGAAAATAAAGCCGCCTGAATCTAAATAAAAGGGCTTGCATAGCAGGGGTTTTCAGTGGGTTCCTAGCTTTGGAGCATGAAGCAGAAGAAGGAGCTGAGCACTGCCCGGGTAGGGGATTCGAAGAGGCATGCTCCGCTGCCAGTGGTGTCACCTTCTGTTGTGTAAATCGCAGCTCCTGCCAAAGGGAACTCCCTAAACAGAGAAACAACGACCAGAATAGTTCATGAAAAGCCTGGGCTGTTGGAAGTTAGGCCTTCTCTGGAATTGCTCCCCGGATACTGACGGCTCCAACGTTTCCAGTGTGCTATGGTTGGATCAGACATTCTTCTCCAAGCCAAGATTGCTTCCAACAGCTGGAGGAACAGCCCCTCCTGTCCTCTCCACCTCCTCAGCTTCATTTCTCACTGGAGACCATCCGAAAGGGGAGTTTAAAATTACTGTCTTTTGGGTAAATAGCGTTTACTTTTCCAGACTGAACTGCCAAAGACCTTAAGAAAATTAAAGAAAGAAAAGAAAAACTGAGTTGCCATGTCTGGTAAACAGTGTTTCTCTAATTAGGTGGCTGCATGGTTATTAACTAGAGCAGTTGTGTATCCTGACGTATGATTTATTTACCTTGGCACACAGAGTTAGGGTGCTGAGCAACAGAGCCAAATACGGTGACAGGGTGAGGAAAATGAGAGGATGCAAAACCATGGTGAGGACTGAGTTCTGTACATCTTACAGAATTGGTTTTCCCAGAGGAGGGAAACAGGAATATTATCTCATTGCAAAATAGTCATTAAACTATAATTGACTGCTCACAGCTAACAATGTCTAACTTCACTTTCAGTCAAAATGAAAATGAAAATCAATATCCTGACACAAAGCAATAATACAAATTAGAGAGCAATACTAGAAAGGTTCTCTAGAAGGATTTAGAATACGCTGTAGTTGAAAAAATATATAAGAAAAGAAAAAAATGATTATTTGCCATTACTCGTCCCATTGCTGGAAGGGTGACTTGTGAAACAGAAGGTCTTCTTGGAGATGCATGCAGAAGAGGTGGGATATTTGTGAGGGAGGAACTTCCATCTTTCCTCTCTTTCTTACTGCAGATTCCAAGTCCCCCCCATACACCTGCATTAAAGTAGAGTAACATGGAAGCAGCATTATTGCATCCCACTGACACACACATCCTCATTTCACACCTTTTCAAATGTATACCAAATAAAAAATACTAAAAGTAGTGTTTTAGGCTGGGCATGGTGGCTTATACCTATAATCCCAGCACTTTGAGAAGTTGAGGTGGGAGGATCACTTAAGGCCAGGAGTTTGAGACTAGCCTGGGCAACATAGCAAGACTCTGCTTCTACAAAAAATTTTTAAAAATAGTTTTTAAATAAATATTTTCTAAGGATATGTTATATTCAGAGTTATCCTTCCTGGATATAGTTGTGGTACAGAAGTGGATTGACATAGCAATTATTATATTACCAACCACAGAGGGTTAGCTAACTTGAGGCTATTATATATACTTAGTGTTTAATATTCCCTATAGGTTATTTCTTTAGTCGTTAATTAAATCATTTAGCAAATATTGCTCAAATGCCTGCAATGTTCCAGGCTCTGTGCTAGAGGAAAGGCAGTCCATATCTTACAGAGTCTGCGCTGACTAGGGAGGGAGGGGATCATCACAATGTGTGATAGGACATGGAAAAGTTGTGTAGGATGCTGTGGGAGAGCATGGAGGAGGCCTCAGGCAGCAGCAGGAAGGACCCTCCAGAGATAGCAGCCTTTGTGCTGTATCTTAGAGGCTGAGGCAAGGGGAGAGCAGGAGAACACAGCTTTGGCAGCATGAGTAGAGTTTACAGACAGAACATGTTACAGATCCAAACTTTTTACTACCTGGGATGGGTGGACATTGCTGCTTTTTGTGTAGGATACAGTAATGATTAATCTTAAAAACATATTGTGTCTGTTTGGCGATGTCTTATTGAACTTTATCTAAGGGTCTTGTTAACGTACACATTGTGATTCAGCAGGTCTGGGGTGGGGCCTGAGATCCTGCATTTCTAATAAGCACCCAAGGGGTATTGCTAACCTGAGGACAACACTCTGAGTACCAAGGGACCAGATCATCCAAAAAACCTCCAGCTAAAATACTTAGGAACTCTGGATGATATATAGATATAGATATAGATATAGATATAGATATATAGATATATATAGATATATATATATATATATAATATAAGTAATAAATATGTATATATAAGTAAATTATATTTACTTATATATATATTACTTATATTATATATATATATATATTTAAAAATCCATTTAAACCCTTATCTGAGCTCCCTGCAAAATAAATAAATTCTCATGGGGCATGAAATGGGGGTGGGAAGGGAATAAAAAAACAAAACAAAAGCAACCACTCCAGCTAGATTTGCTAGTCATTGAGGCCTAAGAGACATATAAGGTGGAAGAGAAGGGCATGGGCCCACACATGTTGAAAAGAGTTGATGGGAATTAACACTCTCACACAAAGTCAGGACCACCAGATGATTAAAGCATATATAAAAGTGTGAAAAATCTTCTTATGGATACAAGGTGAAAAGGAACAAAAGCCCATCTTATTCTGTGTAGCACATGGGGAAAAATCCTTTCCTGATAATTTGTAGCTATTACCTTGACCTCCTATAGCTTTGAGTTCCAATTTATATGCTTGTCACTGTCTTGGAATTCCAAAGCAGAGAATAATACAAACATGATCCCAAGTCAATGATAACCCTAAAGCCAAAAGTAAACCTCACTTCCTCAAGTTAGGCCAGCCAAGAATCTCACAGATAAAATTCTACTAAAGATGAGCTTACAATGGGAAGGTATTAAAAATATAAATAAATAATATAGCATGAGCAAAAGTCAGCAAATAGTAAATAGCAGGCTTATATGTCCAAGAACTTCAAATAATAAAATGATTTGAAGCTATAAAATAAACATGCTTAACATGATTAAAGACATCAGAGAGAGGAGTATGAAAAAGCAACAATATATTATATAGTTAGATTTATTTGAAAAATAACCAAATATAATATTTAAAAATTATAATACTTTAAATTAAAAATTGTAGTTAACATAAGATAACAGATTAGACACAGCTGAAGAGAGAATTATTGCAGTGGAAGACAGAGCTAGAGAGGGTGAGAAATGGAAGGTTGCAACTGAAAGTTATATTTTTTGTGTCTGGGAGCAACATTAATTGAGAGAGGCTAACGGTGCAGAAAAAGAAAGAATATCTGAGGGACCAGAGTCCCAAAGGAGGATGGAAGGTTGGGATTCAGATACAAGTAGAAGGATTAACCTGTATCAGAAGAGCAATACCTTCCAGGGGTAAAGAAAGCAAAAGTAAGCATGAGTCAGACAGCTTCTAGGCAGAAATAAAGCAAGTTATTATCTAATGACTTCACTTTTACTGTGAACTAAAAACAATTTATTCCACACATAATATGTGCCAGGTCATTTTGTTAGAGCTTCTCATATATTACCACATTGACTCTTTATGCCTAAAGACAGATGTAAATATTAGTATTATCTTCATTTTACAAGTGAGAAAACTAAAACCTGGCCAGTTAAGTAAGTTACTTAAGGTTCCACTGCATGTAAGTGAAAATAAAAAGATTCAAATCCAGTCAGTCTACTGTGTGGAAAGACATACAAGCAGGTTCTATGCTGAGTAGGGGAGAAATGGAAGAAGAGGGCAAGAGAATAGAGAAACCACCAGAAAGGAGCAGCAGAGAGAAGGCCAGACTTGCCCTAAGTAAAAATGGCCCAACTGAGGCTTGAGGACAATGCATTTTCTACAGAATCCTTTCTTTAAGGATACCAATAGAAGACTATGCTTGATACAAACTCTTTGTAGAACAATTAGTAATGCTTTTTGGACATTAAGGTCAGTATAATCTCTTTGTAGTGCAAATTTTCAGTGTCCAGTGAAATTGAAGCATACAACACTACAATACAGCCGACACAGGCTTTTTTTTTTCTATCCAAGCTAAATTTTTCTCATGGCACAAGGAGATGTCTACAGGGAACTCATAGATATTTGCACTTGTTTTAGTCTGCCTTCCTGTATATTCTATCTATAGTCCCCGTAGAACCATGGTTGAGTCTCAAATCATGTGATAGAAATACAATCCACAATTTCACAGTCCTCCCCCACACTCCCCACCTGCAACTTTCCCTAGAACAACACCAATTTCAGCCACGTGGTCACTCTCATATGATACCAACATTTTTTCTAACCTGTACACTTTTCTCCATTTTCTGCTGTTACACTGTCCACCTCCAGGCTCCTGCCTGGACTCCAGTGGTAGCCTCCCACTGGTCTCTTGGTTTCTACACTTTCCCATTTAAATTATCAGAATAGTTAGTGTTAACCTTTTTTTTTTTAAAAAAAGACTTTATTTTTAAGGCAGTTTTAGGTTCAAAGCAAAATTAAGAGGAAGGTACAGAGATTTCCCACCCACCCCCTCCCCCTGCACATGCAGAGCCTCCTCTATTCTCAACATTCCCCACCAGAGTGGTACATTTGTTACCACTGATGAACCTACTTTGACACACCATCTTCATCCAAAGTCCATAGTTTACATTAGGGTTCATTCTTGGTTTTGTACATTATATGGGTTTGTATAAGAATATAATGACATGTGTCCCCCACTAGTATCCTACCCAGTATTTTTGTTGACCTAAAAAATTCTCTGTGCTCTGCCTATTTTTGCCTGTCTACCCCTTAACCCCTGAGAACTACTGATCTTTTTACTGTCTCTATAATTTTGCCTTTTACAAAATGTCATATACTGAAATTGTACCATATGCAGCCTTTTCGAATTGCCTACTTTCTTAGCAATATGCATTTCAGGTTGCACCATGTCTTTTTGTGGCTTGATAGATCATTTCTTCTTATTGTTGAATAATATTCCATTGTCTGGATGTACCACAGTCTATTTATCCATTCGTCCACTGAAGAACATCTTGGTTGCTTCCAAGGTTTGGCAATTATGAATAAGGCTGCTATGAACTTCTATTTGCCGGGTTTTGTGCAAACATAAGTTTTCAAGTCGTTTGTATAAATATCAAAAAATGCAATTACTAAATTATATGATAAGAGTGTGTTTAGTGTTGCAAGAAACTGCCAGACTGTCTTCCAAAGTACCATTTTGCATTCCCATCAGCAATGAATGAGAGTTGCTCTTGCTCCACATCCTCTACCAGCATTTGGTGTTGTCAGTGTTCCAGATTTCGGCTGCTCTAATATGTGTGTCATTGTTTTAATCTGTATTTCTCTAATGACATAGGATTTGTTGCATGTTTTCATGGGCTTATTTACCATCTGCATACCTTCTTGGGTGACATGTCTGTTTTTAGTTGGGTTGTTACTGTAAACTTTTTAGAATATTAACTAGATCATGACATTTCCCTGCTGAAAACCCTCCAGTAAATTCACATCACATATAAAGTAAAAAGCAACTTTTTATCTGGTATATTAACCCATACTCAACTTGCCCCTGCCTAGTCTTTAGCAATGTATTTTTCTCCAGAAACATTGGCTTTATTTCTGTTCCTCAAAGCCACCTGCTTGTTCTTGCCCATGGCTGGAACTAGAATGAGGTCCCGAGGGCACGAAATGTAAAGCACCAAGGTGCTTACTTTCAGGGGCTGGCTCTACACTCACATAGTCCTGGGGCTCAGTGCTCCTTAAGAGTAAGGTGCCCAGGTGCAAAGTGTAAGGAGGTGCTCACTCTTAGGCTCCTGCAAGTGCAGGGTCAGCCCCCAAGAGTGAGTGACTTTTTATTAGATTAGTGCGAAAGTAATTGCGGTTTTTACCATTACTTTCAATGGCAAAACCGCAATTACTTTTGCACCAATCAAATACATTTAGTTTCCTCGATACCTTATATTAACGGTAATCCTGGTTCAGATCCTACCCTGGTATATTCGCTAAAGGGGATCTAATCCTCCTTTCTCATTGCCTTTTCCCTGTTCCTTTTCTTTTGATTGGCTCCTAAATTTTCAGACCTGCATTCGAATGCTAAATGTCATATCCCAGGTCTTCCCAGAAACACTCATATGCTGTGTAGAGTCACCCATGCATTCTTTTTTTCCCCATCTCTCCTTCAAACAACTATCACCGTTTGAAATGATCTTTTTTCTCAAATTTGTTTTGGTTGTTATTGTTGTTCTCCTGACAAAATGTGAGGAAGGAGGAATGTGCTGAACATTGAAGGATTCCGCTCTGGGAATTAAATTGGAATACTGACTTCATGGAAATGATTGTTTCCAATCCTGCTGCTGGAGGATGTGATCTTCCAGAACCTAAACTGGGCTTGGGGACTAAGAGTGTGTAAGTGATCACATCAAAATCCGTCCCAGCTGCAGGTGATGTAGAGAATATTGCCTGGATCTGGTCTTGGGTAGCGGGGGATGGGAGGGACTACAAAGGGGCCTGCTTTGAAAACAGCAGGATAAGAGCCAATTCTGGAATCTTCATCCTATTCTAGAGAATTTGGCAGGGCCGGGGAGGAGGAGCAGGGGGTATGGGAAGAAATAACCAAGTTAAGGAGACAGATGGCTACAACAATAGGAAAAAAAAAAAAAAGAGTGGCTGAATAATCGAAGCCCTTCAGAGCAAAGAAGTGATAAATGTAACCTGTGCCTCAGAGGGACACAAGAGGCTTAGTAGGCAAAAATCAACCTGCTATATTATCTGTGCTGGAGTTCAGGGATTGTGTGAGGGGTGTGTGCATGCCTGTGTGTGTTCATGTCTCTGTGTGTGTGTGTATGTGGAACAACTCAAACTATTTTTCCTCAGCTCTCACACCACAACAACAAACACAGATTTCTGTGACCAAATATTGAATGGGTGGTTCCCATATACCAAGCAAGCAATCATTTCTGCAGCAGACACCAGCTGGACATCCTCTAATTCAATTCTGAAGCTACCTGCCTGGAGATAGCGTCAGATCCCACAGCTTGAGAGCTGGGATCCACAAGACTGCCCCTCCCTCACCCCATCGTCAAAAGTTGGGGCTTCTGGATCTTCTGGCAGGCTTCAAGTTAGTGCCCCCATGACTCCCTCTTTAAGTTTGATTAATTTGCTACAGTGGCTCAGAGAACTCAGGGAAACACTTACTTAATGTTTACCAGTTTATGATGAAGGAGATTACAAATGATACAGATGAAGAGATGCATAGGGCAAGGTATGGGGGAAGGGCACAGAGCTCCCATACCTTCCTGGGTGTGCTGCCCTCTAGGAACCTCCACGTGTTCAGCTATCTGGAAGCTGTCCCAAACCGGACCTTTTGGGGTTTTATGGAAGCCTTATTAAGCAGGCATGGCTGATTAAATCATTGGCCGTTGGTGATCAGCTCAACTTTCAGCCCTTCTCCCCTCCTTTGGTTTGGGGAGGGGGGCTGTATGTCCCAATCCTCTAATCAGCCTTTGTCCTTCCTGGTGACCAGCCCCCATCCTGAAGCTACCTAGAGGCTGCTAGCCATCAGTTAATTATTAGCATACAAAAAGACATCACTTAAGAGGTTCTAAGGATTGTAGGAGTTGTATGCATGCAGGAAAGTGGTACTGAAGAAGGATATATATTACACAATATCGCAGTGTGTGTGTGTTGCTTCCCCACAAAATTGCCTAGACAACCTAGAGCTATATTAGGACCTCCAGAGAGCCCCAAGTCTTGAAATAATTGTAGAGAGCTGGGTGTGGTGGCTCATGCCTATAATCCCAGCACTCTGGGAGGCTGAGGCGGGCAGATCACAGGGAACCAAAAAAGAGCTCGTATAGCCAAGACAATCCTAAGCAAAAAGAACAAAGCTAGAGGCATCATGCTACCTGACTTCAAACTATATTACAAGGCTGTAGTAACCAAAACGGCATAGTACTAGTACCAAAGCAGATATATAGACCAATGGAATAGAGCAGAGGCCTCAGAAATAACACCACACATCTATAACCATCTGTCTGATCTTTGACAAACCTGACAAAAACAAGCAATGGGGAAAGGATTCCCTATTTAACAAATGCCATTGGGAAAACTGGCTAGCCGTATGTGGAAAACTGAAACTGAACCCCTTCCTTACACCTTATACAAACAAAAATTAACTCAAGATGGATTAAAGACTTAAATGTAAGACCTAAAACCATAAAAACTCTGGAAGAAAACCTAGGCAATGCCATTCAGGACATAGGCATGGGCAAAGACTTCATGACTAAAACACCAAAAGCAATGGCAACAAAAGCCAAAATTGACAAATGGGATCTAATTAAACTAACGAGCTTATGCACAGCAAAAGAAAAGATCATCAGAATGAACAGGCAACCTACAGAATAGGAGAAAATTTTTGCAATCTATCCATCTAACAAAGGGCTAATATCCAGAATCTGCTAAGGGAGGAGACCACCCCTCATATTGTCTTATGCCCAATTTCTGCCTCCAAAGAAAGAAGTAAAAACTAAAAGGTGGAAATGAAATCCACAGGGAGACAGCCCGGCACCACACCCTGGGCCTGGTTAAATATTGACCTCTGACCTAACAGGTTATGTTACCTATAGATTCCAGACATTGTATGGAAAAGCATTATGAAAATCCCTGTCCTGTTCTGTTCCGTTCTGATTACCAGTGCATGCAGCCCCCAGTTGTGTACCCCCTGCTTGCTCAATCAATCATGACCCTCTCACACAGACCCCCTTAGAGTTGTAAGCCCTTAAAAGGACAGGAATTGCTCACTTGGGCAGCTCAGTTGTTGGAGATGAGAGTCTTGCTGAAGCTCCCAGCCAAATAAAGCCCTTCCTTCTTTAACTCGGTGTCTGAGGGTTTTTGTCTGTGGCTTGTCCTGCCACACTACAAAGAACAAATTTACAAGAAAAAAACAAACAACCCCATCAAAAAGTGGGCAAAGGATATGAACAGACACTTCTCGAAAGAAGACATTTATGTGGCCAACAAACATACAAAACAAAGCTCCTCATTGCTCATCATTAGAGAAATGCAAATCAAAACCACAATGAGATACCATCTCACACCAGTTAGAATGGTGATCATTAAAAAGTCAGGAAACAATAGATGCTGGAGAGGATGTGGAGAAATAGGAATGCTTTTACACTGCTGGTGAGAGTGTAAATTAGTTCAACCATTGTGGAAGACAGTGTGGCGATTCCTCAAGGATCTAGAACCAGAAATACCATTTGACCTAGCAATGCCATTATTGGGTATATACCCAAAGGATTATAAATCTTTCTACTATAAAGACACATGCACATGTATGTTTATTGCAGCACTGTTCACAGTAGCAAAGACTTGGAACCAACCCAAATGCCCATCAGTGATAGACTGGATAAAGAAAATGTGGCACATATACACTGTGGAATACTATGCAGGCATAAAAAAGGATGAGTTCATGTCCTTTGCAGGGACATGGATGAAGCTGGAAACCATCATTCTCAGTAAACTAACACAGGAACAGAAAACCAACCACCGGATGTGCTCACTCATAAGTGGGAGTTGAACAATGAGAACACATGGGCACGGGGAGGGGAACATCACACACTGGGGACTGTCAGGGAGCAGGGGGCTAGAGAACGGATGCATTAGGATCCATCTAATGTAGATGATGAGTTGATGGGTGCAGCAAACCACCATGGCATGTGTATACCTATGCAACAAACCTGCATGTTTTGCACATGTATCCCAGAACTTAAAGTATACTAATAAGAGACAGAAAAAAATTGTAGTGTTCCTAACATATGTGCCTCAAAAATTAAAATAATACTACACTATAAGAAGTACTCCCCAAATTTATTCATGATGATATTTATCAATTAAATTCTTCTTTCGATATAATTGTTAATTCACATGCACTCATAAGAATAACACAGAGAGACCCTGCATGTTATTTTTCTGGTTTCCTTTGATGATAATACTTTGTGAAACCATAGTACATTATCACAGCCAGGAGATTGATATTAATACAGTCCATTGATCTTGTTTTGATTTCTCCAGTTTTACTTGTACTCCACTGTGTACGCATATTCAGTTCTATGCAATTTCATCACATGTGTGGACTTGTGCATCCACCACCAGAGTCAAGATACAGAACAGTTTATCACCACCATGATCCCTTGCATTGCCTTTTTATAATCATGCTGTAGGAGGTTCCAGGGATTTGCAGGCTGATCAGGGAAAAGGCATGACCACGAGACAGTAGACCACACAAGCTTTAGTAGGTAAATGACTTTATTAGGCAAGTTTGTGCATTGGGCAGCTCCCTCACAGCAAGAGCCTGTCTAGATGCTAGGACATGAGGGTTAGTACTCAAAAGGGGAGGAGGGCAAAGGAGCTCCATGGGAAAAGTGGAATTGCAAGGGGGCTGTGTGTCTAGCTGATGTCCCTTAGCAGCAAAGAGGGAGTCTGCAGGTCATAGAGCTCTGAAAGGCACAGTGACTTGGGATCTTTATGACACAGAGGCTTATCTTATCTGTAACTAGCAGACATTGGATGCAGTTTCATGGGGCATTAAAAACAGGCAGGCTGTAAATGACTCAAAATCTGCTTATTTGAAAGATGTTTAAAACTGCTAAGTGTGTAAAAATTTAAATTTGGTGCTGGTGGACTGTTGTGCTAATGGTTCTCAGCCTATCATGGAGAAATAAACAACCTAGGGGTCAACAGACAGAGGCCACCCTTGGCTCATTTATATGACACATATGCTCTGCCTTCCTGCCACTATGTCCACTGCCTCTTTTCTTGTCAACCACTAATCTCATCTCCATTTCCATTTTTTTATTTCAAGAATGTTATATAAATGGAATCACAGAGTTGGGGGTCTCACTGTCACCCAGCCTGGAGTGCAGTGGTGCAATCATAGCTTACTGAAGCCTTGGATTCCTGGGCTCAAGCAATCTTCCTGCTTTGGTCTCTCAAGCAGCTGAGATGACAGGTGTGCACTGCCATGCCCAGCTAATTAATTTTTTTGTTTTATTAGAGATGAGGTCTTGCTTTGTTGCCCAGGCTTACATATAACCTTTTGAAATTGACTTTTTCATCTGGCATAACTCTATGGAGCTCCATTCAAGTTGTGTGCTATGTCGATAGGGTGTTCCCTTTCATTGTTGAGTAATATTCTATGACAAGAAGGTACCACAGCTTGTTTAACCATGTGTCAATTGAAAAACATCGGGATCAGTTCCAGTTTTTTTTCACTACTATAAATAAAGCTATTACGAATATTAATGTAGGCCAGGCACGGTGGCTAGGCCTGTAATCCTAGCACTTTGTAAGGCCGAGGTGGGTGGATCATGAGTTCAGGAGATCAAGACCATCCTGGTTAACATGGTGAAACCCTGTCTCTACTAAAAATACAAAAAATTAGCCGGGCGTGGTGGTGGGCGCCTGTAGTCCCGGCTACTTCAGAGTCTGAGGCAGGAGAATCGCTTGAACCTGGGAGGCGGAGGTTGCAGTGAGCAGAGATGGCACCACTGCACTCCAGCCTGGGTGACAGAGTGAGACTCTGTCTCAAAAAAAAAAAAAGAAAAGAATATTAATGTATAGGATTTTATATAAATATACATTTCCATTTATCCAGGATAACAAGGGATGCAATTGCTAAGTCATAAGGCAATTGCACATTTAGTTTTTTTTAAATAAAGAAACTGCCGAACTGTTTTCCCAGGGTAGCACTACCATTTTGCATCCCCGCTGCAATGTATGAATGATTCAGTTTCTCTGCATCCTTGTTAGGATTTGGTGCTGTCACTACTTTTTATTTTAAGCCTTTTGATAAATGTGTAATGATATCTTCTTTTCAAATTATTAATAGCCTTTATTTTTTGAGCAGCTTTAGGTTCATAATTAATTTGAGCAGAATGGACAGAGTTCCAATATGTTCCTGCAACTGTAAGTACCCAGCCTCCCTCACCATCAATATTCCACACTAGAGTGATACATTTGCTACACTTGAGGAACCGACATTAACATGTTATTATCATCCAAAGTCCATAGTTACATTAGGGTTCACTCGGTTCTGTACATGCTATGGATTTTGACACATATACAATGGCATGTCTCCATAATCATAGTACCATATAGAATAATTTCCGTTCCATAAAAATCCTCTATGCTATGCCTATTTATCCCTCTCCTACCCCAACCTTTGGCAACACTGAGGTTTTTATTGTCTTCATAGTTTTGGTTCTTCCAGAATATCATATAGTTGAAATCACAGCCTTTTCAGATTGGCTTCTTTCATTGAGTAATATGCATTTAGGGTTTCTCCATGAATTTTGTGACTTGATAGCTCATTTTTTTGTTGTTTAATAATATTTCATTGTCTGGATGCATTATGGTTTATTTATTTATTCATCTACCAGTGGACATCCTGGTTGCTTCCAAGTTTAGGCAATTATGAACAGAGCTGCTCTAAGCATCTGTGTGCTGCAGGGTTTTGTGTGGACATAAGCTTGCATCTCATTTGTGTAAATATCAAGGAGCACAATTTCTGGATTATATGGTAAGAGTGTGCTTAGTTTTCTAAGACACTGCTGAACTGTCTTCCAAAGTAGCCGTACCACTTTGCATTCCCACCAGCAATGAATATTGACTGTATTTATGAGAAATGCTTTTGCTTCGTGCCCTCACCAGCATTTGGTGTTGTCAGTGTTCTGGATTTTGGCCATTCTAATGGGTGTGTAATGGTATCTCATTTGTTGTTGGAATTTGCATTCCTCTGATGACACAGGATGTGGAGTGTCTTTTCATATGCATATTTGCCATCTGTATATCTTCTTTGGTTAGATGTTCGGATATTTTGCCAATTTTTAAAATCGAATTGTTCATTTTCTTACGGTTGAGATTTTAAAGTGTTTTGTATATTCTGGATATAGTCCTTTGTCAGATACGTCTCTTGTAAATATTTTCTCCCAGTCTGTGTCTTTTGAAGAGTAGAAAATTTTAATCTTAATAAAGTCCAGTTTGTCAACTTTTTTTCATGGAGGTGCCTTTGTTTTATCTCTAAAAAATATCACCATACTCATCCTGGCTAACATGGTGAAACCCCATCTCTACTAAAAATACAAAAACTTAACCGGGTGTGTTGGCACACACCTGTAGTCCTAGCTACTTGGGAGGCAGAGGCAGGAGAATTACTTGAACACGGGAGGTGGAGGTTGCAGTGAGCCAAGATCATGCCACTGCACTCCAGCCTGGCTGACAGAGAGACTCTGTCTCAAAAAAAAAAATCACCATACTGAAGGTCACTTAGATTTTGTCTTATAGTATATTCAAAGAGCTTTATAGTTTTGTATTGCACATTTAAGCCTATGATCCATTGTGAGATAATTTTTGTGAAAGGTATAAGGTCTGTGTCAATATTCTTTTTTTGTTTTATATGGATATCCAGTTCCAGCACCACTTGTTGAAAAGACTATTATTGCTCCACTCTGTTGTCTTTACACCTTTGTCAAAGGTTCGTTGACTATATTTATGTGGGTCTATTTCTGGGCTCTCTGTTCTGTTCCATTGATCTATTTTGCCAATACACACCATCTTGACTACAGTAGCTTTCTAGTGAGTCTAGAAGTCAGATAATGTCAGTCCTCTGACTATTATTCTTCAATATTTAGTTCACTAATCTTGATCTTTTGCCTCTCCATATAAACTTTAGAATCAGTTTGCCAGTACCCACAAGATAACTTGCTTGGATTTGGATTGGGATGGTTCTGAATCTACAGATCAAGTTGGGAAAAACTAACATCTTTATCTCTCCATTTACTTAGCTCTTCTTTGATTTCTTTCATCAGAACACTTGTTTTCCTCATATAGAGCTTCTACCCACTTTTTTTTTTTTTTTTTTTTTTTTTGAGATGGAGTCTCACTCTGTTGCCCAGGCTGGAGTGCAGTGGCACGATCTAGGCTCACTGCAACCTCTGCCTCCTGGATTCAAACCATTCTCCTGCCTCAGCTTCCCGACTAGCTGGGATTACAGGCGCCTGCCACCACGCCAGGCTAATTTTTGTATTTTTGGTAGAGATGGGTTTCCCCATGTTGGTCAGGCTGGTCTTGAACTCCTGACCTTGTGATCTGCCTGCCTCAGCCTCCCAAAGTCCTGGGATTACAGGCGTGAGCCAACACACCCGGCCTCTTCTACACTTTTTGTTGCATTTAGACCTAAGTATTTCATTTTTTTTGTGGGTGCTATTGTAAATGATAATGTGTTTTTAAGTTCAAATTCCACTTATTAATCAGTGGTATACAGGAAAACAATAGGCTTTTGTGTAATAGCTTTGTATCCTGCAACCTTTCATTAATCACTTTTTAGTTCCAGTAGTTTTTTTTTTGTTTTTTTGTTTTTATTCTTTTGCATTTTCTACACAGGCAATCAAGCAGCCTGCAAAGACAGTTTTACTTCTTCCTTCTCATTCAGTACACCTTTTACATCATTTTCTTATGTTACTGCATTAGCTAGGAGTCCAGTACAAAGTAGAAAATGAGTGGTGAGGGGACATTCCTATCTTCTTCCTGATATTAGTGAGAAAACTTCTAGTTTCTCATCACTAAGATATTAAATGTAGTTTTTTTGTAGATGTTTATCAAAGAGAGGAGGTTTTCCTTTATTCCCAGTTCGATGAGAGTTTTTCATTTATTTCAGCTTGTATAGATATTGGATTTTGTCCATGCTTTTTCTGCATCTATTGATATAATCATGTGATTTTTCTTCTTTAGCCCGTTCAGGTGACAGTTTATGTTAACTGATTTTCAAATGTTCAAACAGCCTTGCATACCTGAGATAAATCACACTTGGTTATCCTGTATATTTTTGTTTATTCAATATTGGATAATATTGGCTAATATTTTGCTGAAGATTTTTGCATCTATGTTCATGAAAGACATTCATCTGTAGTTTCCTTTTCTGGTAATATTTTTGTCTGAATTTGGTAATACTCATAAAGTGAGTTGGCAGATGTTTCTTCTTCTGGGAGAGATTGTGCAAAACTATTGTTCTTTAACTATTTGGAAAAATTCCCCAGTATAGCCATTTTAGCATGAACGTTTCATTTATGGAAACTTTTCAATTACTAATTCAATTTCTTTAATGGTTATAAGATCATTCAGATTGTTTAATTCTTTTGGTTGAGTTTGGTAAATTGTAATTTTCAAAGAATTGATTAATTTTTTCTAACTTACTTAATTTATGACTGTCAAGTTGTTTGTAGGATTCTCTTATTATTCATTTAAGTACTAGAAGACTGTAGTGACATTCCCTGATTCATTCTTGATATTGATAATTTGTGTCTTTTTCTGCTTTCTGTTTTAATCTTTATCAGTCTTGCTAGATGTCTATAAATTTTAGTGATATTTTTCAAATAATCTGCTATTGGTTTTTTTTATATTCTCTATTGTTTAAAAATAAGCACACATAAACCAAAATTAAAACTGTAATATCATTTGCAATTGATTTTCAGCTTCATTGATTTTTTTGCTCTTATTGCTATTATTTTTTTTTCTTCTGCTTGCTTTGGGCTTATTTTTCTCTTCTTTTTCTTGTTTCTTGAAATAGGAATGTACGTTTTGAATTGAGACCTTTACTCTTTAATGTAAGTATTTGGTACATAAATTTCTCTGTCAGCACTACTTTAACAGCATTCTAAAGATTTTAATATATTGTGTTTTTATTTTAATTTAGCTGTGTGTATTTTTGCATTTCCTCTGAGGCTTGTTTATTGATCTGAGAGTGGTTTATAAGTGTGTTGTTTAATTTCCAAGTATTTGAAGATTTTCTTGCTTTCTTTTAGTTATTGTCTCTTGGTTTGATTACATTGTAGTCAGAGAATATACACTAAATGACTTTAATTCCTTCATATTTGTTGAGTTTGTTTCATGACCAGGACAATTTCTCTTGGTAAAAGCTTTATGGGAACTTAAAAAGAATGTGTATTCTGTTATTGTTACGTGGACTGTTTCATAAATGCCAATTACATTTTACACTTTTTACTGGTTGATGGTAATGTTCAGTTCCTCTATATCTTTGATAATTTCCTGTCTGGCAGCTCTACCAATTGCTCAGAGTGCAGTGGTCATGTCCCCATTTATGATAACTCATATGAACACTAAACTTATTTTACTTGTCATTGTTTTGCTGGTGCATCACACACACACTTAGTTGGACTACTGGATAATCAAGCACTGATCCTGGTTATAAAATCATACTTCACACTTCCAGTTTAGATAATTTGTTAATTGTGATAACAAACTTCTGTTTTTTAACATAATTTTTTAAAATGTTCTTTACTTAGGATAGAAAATAAGAAATCTTATTTCTTGATTATTTCTAAGTATCTGAAGAATTTTTAAATTTGTAAGAGGTTTTCAACTAAGAATATTTGGTTTTGCTGAGCGTAGCCTCAGGAAAAAAGATAAAATTTGAAAGTTTTTACTAGAATCTCCAAGACTTGATCATTTAGAAATAATCTGGCATCTGATATACTGTGTAAAATTTTGTGTATACTGACCCACCTGTACATCTAAATCAATATCCACATCTATTGTCAAACTTTGTCTCCGATTGATATTCACAATACTTTGCCACTTGGTAAAATGTCTAAATTTCATTCAAACATTATATAACTAAATCTGACATCATTTAATTTTTAAAAGCAGTGAATTAATTGTGGTGCTTTTAATAGCAATATAGTAAACTTTTATGAGGCTAAGGAAAAATATTATCAATATTAACTTTCACAAGGAAATTGAAGCTTACTAGAAACAATGCTTTAGAAGGATATTCTTCAGCCTGGTTATTTAGAGCTAAAGTTAACATACTCTTAATTAATAATTATTCAACCAAGTCTAATATGTGTTAATCACTGGGTAGTAAATCAGCAGCACATGTCATGGTGTGATACCTGCCTTTAGATGGTAGTTAACTGCCAAACAATTCAACATGTAATAGAATATGGCTCGCAATTAGCTATTTTACTTTGGCACATAATGGTTGTTTTTAAAGTTACCCAATCATGTTTGTTTATTTTTTGTTTGCTTGTTTGTTTGTTTTGTGACAGAGTCTTGCCCTGTCCCTAGGCTGGAGTGCAGTGGCGCAATCTTGGCTCACCGCAACCTTCGCCAACCTTCGCCTCCCTGGTTCAAGTGATTCTCCTGCCTCAGCCCCGCGAGTAGCTGGGATTACAGGTGCGTGTCACCACACCCAGCTACTTTTTGTATTTTTGGTAGAGATGGGGTTTAACCACATTGGCCAGGATGGTCTCGATCTCCTGACCTCGTGATCCACCTGCCTCGGCCTCCCAAAGTGCTGGGATTACAGGCGTGAGCCACTGTGCCCAGCCTATGTTTTTCGTTCTCCTTATGATTATTGCATGATATTTGTAAGCCCTCTGGCTAGAGTTGAGATTATTTTTTTGGCCAAGGAAAATTTGCATGTCAACTTGTATTTATTTGTTTATACTTTGTATGTCACTTTTATTTTTGAAACATAATCATGGGGATCATTCTCATTTCTATTAGTAGTATGTGCTCTAACCGGCAAAACCAGGGAGGCATGTACTCTCACCATCAAGTTCCCAGGGTTGCTTTGCAAGTTTCCTAAAGGAAACCAGACATATTTAATCTATTCGTTTTGTTATATTCTTATGTATCTCTCTCACAGCTGGTAGTTTTTATAAGTCAGTTTGGAAAGAAATATTTATTGAAATATATCATGCTCCAGTTACTTAGTTATTTTGGTGAACAAGAAAGAGGTAATTCTTGCCTTTATGTAGTTTGTTGACTAGCAGGAAGAACATGCATGATATATTTAACACTAACTGATTAAGGAATCACACATAGATAAAGGCACTATGAGAAAGAAGTAAAGGATAATATACAAATGAATGACATTATCAGTAAAGTCCTCCCTGACCAAATGACCGTTAAGCCGACACTGGAATAATGAATAGAAATGAGCTAGGCAAAGTGAAGTGGACAGAGTCTACTATTGCCTTTACATACACACAGTGGAGAAGAGAACACGGCATTCTCAAGGAATTGAACTCAATGTGGCTGGGAGAGGCAAAAACAGAGGAAAGACATGTCTGGAGAGAGAAATGGGACCAGCTGATGGCGCACCTGTGCATCGTGCCAAAGACTTCGCTCTCATTTCCCAGGCAATGCAAACTTTTTGAAGACTATAAAACTTGGGAACATCATAATTATATTTGCATTAACGACAACAAAATCACCATGGCTGCAGGTGAGGACTGAAGAGAAAGAACAGAGCACAGGATTGACCTTGAGGGTATGCAGACACCTGGGGGACAGATGATGGTGCTCCTACTCAACTATGGCAGACGCAGTGGGGCTAGTTAGGAAAGGGCACGTTCAAGAATGTACGACAATTGATATCAAGGGTTAGATAGAAGGAGGAGATAAAGACGGGGCTGGTTTCTGGCATGAGTAACTGAGTAATTGTTGGTGTTATTTACTGACACTGAGAACAGCAAGGAAAAAATAGCGGTGAGGTGAGAGGGTGGGACCTCGGCTATGAGGTGAGAGGGTGAGACCTCAATATGATGCAATGGCACAAAGGAAAACACTTTGATGAATTGGAAAAGGATTCCAAATATAAAAGCATTTTGTGTTTATTACCAATAGTGTATACTGAACAATTGTTTCTAAACTTTAGAAATCCATTAAAAAATAGATGCTCAGAGTGTTAAAAGAATGTATGAACTTCAGCAGCCAGAGTTGGCCTGATTAATAGTCATCTTCCCCCAGGAATTTCAGAACCAAGGTATTTCAATTAAAAGCTGCTGATTTTATCCTGGTAGAACTCATTCTTTTCTTTTTTTTTCTCTTTTTTTCTCCTCTGACTTTCTCTGGACTCTTTTCACTGTATTTTCCTACTTCTCTACTTATTTTTTCTGATCTTTTCCTTATTCTCTCCTTTTCTCTGATATCCTTTCTTTACTTAATTTTATTTTAGAAAGCACACATATCCTCAGCTTAAATAATCCCAAACTCATAAATTATCTTTTTTTATCGGCTTCCTTGACAATATCTCACCCAAACCTATATGAACTAGTCGCTCCTTTATTTACTTGATTGATTTGTTGATTTTAGCATACCTCTGTCTTTATATCTGCTGCTTTTGAAAACTAACTTTACAGAAAAGAAAAAAACAAATTTATAGGAAAGCAATTCCTGTTGCATAAAAACATTTATCTTGGTGATTAGCCATACATTGTAAAATCGCTGGGCTATAGAGTCAGCCTTTCTTATTCTGTGTTATAAGAATTGTCCAGTGCAGAAATTAATAGGTTTTGGGGTAGGTATTTTTTCCAGCGTCTCTCTTTTTTGTGTGGTGCAAACCTAATGATCTGTGTGCCCTTTACTAAAAAGATCAAGTGTCAGGACAACGTGCTGCCCTGCATTTTAGGGCTGGCACCATCATGGTAGACAGTTGCATGGGAATGGTATCATGTGAGGGAGTTGACTATCCCCTGCTTCGAAGTAGTTCTGGAGATTCCTGAAAGCTCCACATAGATGAATCTTTTGATTATACTGATCTTTTCAGAAGATCTTACTTCTTGGTACTTAGTCACACTGGTGGTGCAAGGAGGACAAAGGTGTCAGACCGCCGAAGTTAATCCTTGGCTTCACCCTTCACTTGTTCTACTAAGTTGAGTGAGTACTAGCCCCTCCTCCCTTCAGATTCAATACTCATAGCATCATTTATAAATGTGGATGAAAATTATATCTAAATTTGTAGAATCATTGTGAGAATTGAGTGTGTTACATTAATTAAGAATTAAATGAGATTTTAGCATCTGGCACATAGTCATTATTTAATAAATTCAGCTATCATTAATGGAGAGCTTTTTAATTGTCCAACTGTATTAAATTTAATATCTCTAGCCCTCACAACACTCATCTTAGGTAGGTTTATTATTCTCTTCCCAGACAAGAAAACTGAGCAAACTGATTTTTAGTAACTCATTCCTGCTCGGATTGTAAGAGGTAGATATAGGAATTGAATCCATTTCAGCCTTACTGTGTAGTTAATATTTTGCTTTAGCCTCTCAAATACCCCAGGGACATAGAACGATCTCCTTATTGAATAGAATTATCTCATTAGATGACTTTAAAAATGAATGCACATAATACATTTTGGCTTCTTCAAATGACCTATTATGTTACTGATAATTTCCAGTAATTAAATCTATACAGAGGTCTATGACAGGAAGCTTCTTCTTGTTTTTTATCTACTCTTATTTTTTATAATCAAGATATTCTGTCAATGCCACAAACATTGGAAACAAAAATACCTTTGTTTTCTATTGCAGATAATAGGCCCATGACATGTTCAACGTTGCATTCAGTATTGTTGGAACATATTCATTTGCCCAGCAAAAGTCTGCTCAATTTATTTTCTTTGATGTAATAACAGATCAGCAGCATTTTATTAGTGGTTTTACTCAACCACCTGATTTAAAGTATAGTATGTTTCTGCTAATAACCACATGAGTAAACATTCAGGGGAAAAATGCAATTAGAAATCTAGATATTTCATCTAGCTGTAGCAGAAAATTTAAGATATTTCAATGCATCTGGGCCACCGTAACTCTGTAAAGTGCTTTTATTTCTTTTCAGTGATGCAGGAAGAAGTGGAGAAATTTGGCTAAAGGTTTAGTAAATTGATTTGCACCTTCCAACTGCAGGTGTCTTCTCAAAGATGCATCAGAAAGCAAGATTTGTATCAATGCCCTGAAAAGAATTAAAGTTCATCAACATGTGTTCTACTGGTCACTGCAAAGTGAAGTGAGGAAAGGGACCCACAGCATAACCCTATGTCACCCAGTGCAAATCTAGAGGGTGAACACCAGTGACTGCTCAAGCTCAGAATCAGTCTTCACAACACAGATCAGGAGAGCACTACACTGAAGTCCTCCCAGCCCCTGCCACTTGTTAATTTTATAACCTTTGCCAAGTCACTTAATCTCCAAGCATCCTAACTTTCTTTTTTTCTTTCTTTTTTTTTTTTTTTGAGACAGAGTCTTGCTCTGTTGCCCAAGCTGGAATGCAGTGGTGTGATCTCGGCTCACAGCAACATCTGCCTCCTGGGTTCAAGTGAACACGTCCAGCTAATTTTTTTTATTTTTAGTAGAGACGGGTTTTCACCATGTTGGCCAGGCTGGTCTCGAACTCCTGACCTCAAGTGATCTGCCTGCCTCGGCCTACCAAAGTGCTGGGGTTACAGGCATAAGGCACCGCACCCGGCCTAACATTTTCATTTTTACAACGTGTGTGTGTATTGGGTGGGGGGGTGGGGGCGGGCATGTGTGTGGAGGGAGTAGAGCTATTCAGGTGAAAAAACGTCAAAGACTGTTTTAATCTGTAGCTTATATAGCTGTCTCGCATATGCCACACAGCAATTATTTTTGTGAAATCATTTCTATTCTATGTGCGATTATAAATTCTAGAGACTTGTATTGGGGAGAGGCTTACCTATTGCTCCTGTAAAGCAAGGCTCAATAAAACAGACCAGATATGTGTGTGTGTGACACAGCCATTGGAAAGTCCTGAGCGTCTCCTCTTGGGGCAGAGCTGTGCCATTTCCCAACTGGTTCTGCCAAAACTCAAGGTCGGAGTCACGGTTGCAGAGGAGAGCAGAGTGAAAATACACTAATACATTCCCCATCAAAGTGAGTTTCATTTGAGTTTCACAGAATGAAGTATAAAATAGGCAATTTGTTTTTGCTTTGAAAATACTAAGTATATCAGAAAAATACTGTGTAGGAATGTTTCTAAGGGATTAAAATAGTTTGGTAAAATTACAACTGCTGGTAAGAAAGTGTTTATCTTCTTCATACAAAAAATAACCAAATATCTGAATAATATCCACATACATTAAATAAAATTCAGCAGCTCTGATTTGTACACTTATATTTAACCATTAAATATCATCTTTCACATTTTTTCAATCCTTTGGGGTTTTTTTTTGTCTTTTTTGCTTCTACTGTGGTAGAACTGTATAGAAATGTATACGTAAAAGTTGATATCTATTGGGAAACTATGGCTCACTGGCCAAATCCAGCCCTGCTGTTTTTGTTAGGCTGATAAGCTGAAAGTCTTTTGCTTTTTGTCTTTCATTTTATTTTCTCTCCTACAAACGGTTAAAGAACAAAAGTTAGTATTAATGTGTAAAATAATTTGCTTTATTCATAAAACACAAAGACTAGACTGATTTGCAGAATCTGTCCAGCCACAGAACTGGAAAAGGTCAAGGTAGTAATACTGGTCATATCCGATACAACTCAAGAAAGGTAGTTTCCAAGCCTATGGAACCCCTACATTAGTCAATTTTATAAAATGTTCTGTCATCTTCAAAAATATTGGAGAGGCACTATTTTGTCACCAGATTTAAAATAAAACAACATGTAATTGCAAAAACTAATAGTATATATTTTTGAAAATATTTCATAATTCGTGTTTTCTACTCATTCGAACTGTGCATTTCCTGTAATAATTAGTGTGAATTAATTAGACCTCACTATATTGGTTTTACATGGTTTTCTGCTTTTTTCTCCCTAAATATTGGCCAATCATTTGTATTCATTAGTATTCTGAAGAAAGAGAAAATAAATAAAACAATTATATCCAAAACTATCATGAGATTATAATTTATGGAATCCTTAATTAACTATATATGGATTATTCACTCTCTGCTGGAGAAAAAAACACCAGAAAGGTAGAGAATAATTCAGTGCTTGTGAATTACAGCCTATGTTAGGGACAGGAAAAAATTAAAGACGCAAAAGAAAACCAAACAACCAAACAAAAACAGAAAAAAGTTATCAGTTTTCTGAGTTGACCAGACTAATAGAAAATTGCGAAGCTTTTAGACACTTTTTCTTGTTTATTGTCATACGGTCACGGGAGAAAATATTTTATAAATTGATTGGCTTAAATATTGAAAGTAATGTTAGCTGTAGAAATATCGATGAGCTATGCCAAAGAAAGGTAATTGAATTATTGGTAGGATTGGGCACTAGGGCTGCATGATGGTTTATATCTAAACATTTGCTAGTCAAAAGATGCAGACGTGACCTACTCCCCTTATTTGTTTCAAGATAAAAACTCTAAAGATGAGAGTACCATGTTTCAGCTCACATGCATTTGCATTTGTCTGTAGTCAATTAGGATTATCAACACTTCTGAATAATTCTCAGTTGAATTCAGCTTTTTTTTTTTTTTTTTTTTTCAGACAGAGTTTCGCTCTCGTTGCCCAGGCTGGAGTGCAATGGCAAATCTGGGCTCACCACAACCTCCGCCTCCCAGGTTCAAACAATTCTCCTGCCTCAGCCTCCTGAGTAGCTGGGATTACAGACATGCACCACCAAACCAGGCTAATTTTGTATTTTTAGTAGACACGGGGTTTCTCCATGTCGGTCAGGCTGGTTGAATTCAGCTTTCTAAGTTTTAACATTTCTTGAGAAACTATTTGGTTATTAATAGAGTCCAATGTCTGCATGAAGCAGAGTAATAATTGCTTCGTCAGATAAATAACTTCGAATATTAGGACAACACAATCTTTTTTCTGAATTTTAAAAAGGTTATTCAGGATTTCAGTTGATTTAAGCTAGAAAACCTGGATGTATAAAGCTTTTAGCTCTAATCCCCCAAGATAGTCAACCCAATAAAATAATAACTGTGGACTTGTGCTTCCTGAGGCTTTTGACAGATTTGCCCTTGCGGGTGCCTCTGCTGGCAAACTCATTCCTTGGGTGCTATTTTATTTTTCTGAGTACAATCATAACCCTGTTTGCTCTGCAGCATGATGTGACAGCCTGTGGACTATGTCTGCTATTTATTTGAAACACAGTAAGATATATTGTCAGCCTCTGGGTGAAAGTTATTAGATTAGTACCAAAGTGTATGTGTTTTGACTGCTGGAAATAAGATGTGAAAAACCAGGGCTTCGCACTCTTTTGCTAAGTATGTCTGTTTTGTCCACTAATGAATCAGATTTGTATTATCTAATGTTTTAAGTGAAGGGCTCATTTTTCCAGAGGTTAGAGTGCTAGTCCTATCACTTAGAAGTAAATATGCTTTCACTCTTGAGGGAGCCATCTATTGGATTAGACGGAGTCTATAGGTCAGAATGGGTAAAAGATGCCATTGACTTTGAATGCTCATCCAAGTGGGGAAATTTTCATCTTCTGGTTATTTGTCCTGTGGTGAAGGGAGAAACTACTTGACAAGACAGTGCCACAAATTTTGGTGAATGATAAGCTATCTATTGAAGGTGCTTGTTCAGTATAATGTAATTGCAGAGTCTAGAAGGAGTTCTGCCTCAGCAAGACTTGTTAAGGCCACCAAGCATTTTTCTGTGAATCACCATTTCATACTATCTTGATTTCTTTTTTTCTCCCTTTCTTTTCCTGTTTTTAAAAATTAACCTTTATTGTGCTAATAAGATATTGGGTATGTGTGTTGCTGAAAAAAAGTCCTTCCTCCTAGGTTTTATGGTTGATGGATAGTACAAATTCATCCTTAAATTCTGCCCACTTGATCTGCATGTCTTTGTGTCTGTCCACTTCTCTTCACTGTGCCTCCACTACAATGCTGCCACTTTGTCACTTATCTGGACTCAGATGGAGCCTCCGGAGGACTCAAGATCTGTGCTCTCAGGCCTGTTTCCAATTTATTTTCCACATCACACCAGAGTAGTCTTTGGGAAAAGCAAATCTGATCCTATCTCTTCCCTTCCCCAAGCCCCTTTCTATTAGAATAAAGGAAAACCCTCATGAGTCAAGGGTGCAGAGTTCTGTGTGGCCCTTCACTTACTTGCTGACTATTCATGGAGTGCCTGTTTGTGCCCTATGCTGTTCTAGGCAGGGCCTTTGCACTGTTGGTGCTCACGTTGAATGGTGCAGGATCCTCTGTCCACATCTCCAGCCTGACTTTGAGCACCCCTCGTCCCATGCACAGGGCATGCTTTCAGTCCTTTCCCCTGGTCCTGCTCCACCATCTCCTTCTTTCTACCCTTTCACAGGACCTCAGGTCCAGTGTCCCTGCTACAGGAAAGCCTTCCTTGTCTTCCCTGATTAGGTACTCCTGCGATCATATGCCGTCTTAGCCGAATGTACTTCTCCATACATTTTTGCATTTGGGTGTGATTACTTAACCAATGTCTCACACCACCATTTGAAGGTAAGTGTTTTGAGGTCTGAGACTGCCATTTTTGCTGGGTCACTTTATCTTCAGTGCTTATCACAGGGCCTCGTGTACAATAACCATCAATAGACACTTGTTAGGTGAGTGATTCCTACCCACACCTTTGGGAATAACCCATAAAAATATTGAATTTTGTCTCACTTTGATCCGCTACACCTCAATTTGTGACATATATTATTTGCTAGTGATTTTATATTCTCTCAAGAAAATGGGGTGAAAAACCACTAGCAAAAATAAGCCTGTGTAGTAAAGTGAATGGTTCCAAATAAATATACAAAAATTAATAGCTTTGTCTTTACAGATTGAGTTTATTCTTGCCCTTCTTATTCACCTAAGTTAATAATTTTTTATTTACCTGTCTTTAAAACATGATTATACATCACCAGTAGGGACTCTGTCCCATTGCTTTATTTTTTCCATAGCACTTACTACCATCTGATACACTGTATAATTTACTTATTTACTGTTTATTGTTTTGTGTGTCCCCCATCCCAGAATGCTGAATCCTCATTACCTAGAACCATGCATAGGACATAGTAGATATTCAATCAATATTTATTAAATGAATGAACTAGTCATCTTTACCTTAATTTTATACTATTAACTTAAAAATTATATCACATCTGGGATGTGGGTGTTTTCTATTTTTATTAGGTAGTACAGAATCATGATACTTATATAATAGTATATTATAAAATAAAAAGATGAAAGTAGAACCTTCCATCACGCAGTTGAAGAAATGGATTATTATTATTATTTTTTGAGACGGAGTCTCGCTGTGTTGCCCAGGCTGGAGTGCAGTGGCACAGTGGCACAATCTCGACTCACTGCAACCTCTGCCTCCTGGGTTCAAGTGATTCCCCTGTCTCAGCCTCCTGAGTAGCTGGGATTACAGGTGCCTGCCACCACGCTTGGCTAATTTTTTTTTTTTTTTTTTTTTGGTATTTTTAGTAGAGACGGGGTTTCACCGTATTTGCCAGAATGGTCTCAATCTCCTGGCCTCATGATCCGCCCACCTCAGCCTCCCAAAGTGCTGATATCACAGGTGTGAGCCACTGTGCACGGCCAGAAATGGATTATTAACATTGAAGGTCCTCATGCATCCTTATCCCATTCGCCCACCCCCACCTTTATGTGAGTATACTCCTGAATTGATATTTTTTAAAACATTGCCTGCGTTTTCTTTGTAATTTTACCCCATATGATTATTTAATCACACAATGTATTATTTAATTTCGTGTTTTTAAATTTGTAAAAATTATATCATACTGGGAGTATTCTTCGGCTACTTGGTTTCAAAGAGCCACTCCTGTTGAAATGTATTATTCAGGGTTCTGGCACAAAATAACATTCATTAATTTGATTTAAATGAAGAGATCTGAATGAAGATATTATTTGAAGCCATGTGGGCAAGGTTAAGAAGACAGATAAGGTGACTGTATGAAGGCAGCATAGCATACTGAATAAGAGCAGAGAGAATAATCAGAGTGCTTGTGTTCAAACCTTGGTTTCACTCTTACTGTTCAACATCAGGCACATCGCTATGTTTTCTAGTGTCTTTGTATGTCTACTTATAAAATGGAGATGGTAAGAAATAGGCTACATTTTCTACCCCCAAAACTTTCATGACAGTCTTTATGAAATCTAAAGATTCAAGGAGGATTTAGCAGTAAATCAAGAATAGAGCACTTGGTTGAATAATACTATTTACCGCACAAGGATGTGTGAATTACATGAGCTAATCTATGTAAATTACATAGAATTGTGTGAGTATAGAGTGAACACTACCTAAATGTTAGCTGATTCTATTATTATCATTACTGTTGTCATCATCATCATTATCACTGAATGATATTATTGTTTTAACCTCTGCTATATGTGCAATGTTTCTTAGATTTTTACCTGAGTATTTTATATTTTTATGCTTTGTAAATGGTACTGTTTTAAAATTTTTGACTCCAATTGTTTATTGTTATTATACAATATTAGAGTTCATTTTTGTCTATTTACCTGGTATCCTGTGACTTAATGATGAGTTCTAGGTGCTTTCTTGGACGTTCTCTGGGACTGTCCACATAGACAATCCTATCTTCTGTGAATGGAGAAAATTTTATTTTTTCTTTTTAAATCTATATGTCTTTCATTTGTTTTTACTGCATTTTGACACTTGTTAGGAATTCCAGTGAGATGGTGAATAAAAATGTGAGAGTTGATATATTTGCCTTGTTCTTGATTTTATAATGTTAGCTATAGATTCTTGGTAGCAGCCCTTGATCACGTTAAGAGCAGTCTCTCTAATTCTGACTCTGTTGACAGTATTTGTCATGAATGGATGTTGAGTTTTCTCAAGTGCTTTTTCTCTTTCATTGGGAGGATTATTTCGTTTTCATCCTTTAGTGCACTACTATATAAAATTACATTAATTAGCCAATATTAAAGCAGCCCTGGATTCCCAAAATAAGCCCAAGTTAGTCATAATATAGAATTCTTACTATATGCTGCTGAATGTGATTTGTTAATGTTCAGTTTTGTATCTGTGTAAACGAGGAAACTGTGTCCAAAGTTTTCTTGTGATGTCTTTGGTAGATACTGGTATTAGAATAAAGGTGGCCTTATAGAATAGGTTGGAAAGTTTTGCTTTCTTATCTAATTTCTGGAAGTGATTGTGTAGAATTTATATTATTCCTTTCTTAAATGTTCTGTAAAATTTTCCAGCAACACCAGCACAGAAGGGTTGTTTGAAGTGTGAGGAATTTTAACTACAATTTCAATTTATGTAACAGGCACAGGTATAGGCAGATTATCTGTTTCTTCTTGAATTAGTTTTTATAACTTACGTTTTCAGAAGAACAGATCCATTTCAATTGAGATGTCTAATTTCTGGACACAGAGTTGTCCATCCCAGGCATTCTCTTGTCATTCTTTTAATGTCTTTAGTCTCTGTAGTAATATTTCCACTTTAATTTTTGATATTAATACTTTTTCTTTTGAGACGGAGTTTTGCTCTTGTTGCCCAGGCTGATTATACAAAAGCTGGCTCAATTGTATTCAGGAGGTGAGAATCTGAAGTCAAGGTGTCAGCAGCGTGGGTTGGCATCTCCTGGAGGCTCTGAGAGACACCCTTGTGTCTGTCTTAGCTCTTCATGGTCCTGAGGATCCTGGGGATTTGGAGTTTGTAGGGGCTTTGATCTTTGCCTCCATTTTCTTGGTACCTTCTTCTCCTGGTGCTTCTCCTCAGTGCCTCTGTGACCATCTACAAATTTTAATGGTTTGTGCTTTCATTTTCATTTGGTTCAAATTATTTTCTAATTTTCACATATATTGGATATTTATCTGATTCTAGTGTATTTCTGTTATGATAGTTGAAGATTTTCAATGTTTATAATATTCAATATTCATCCTACCTTTTATTTTGTATTTTCTGCTCATCCCTTTTTTCTCTGCTTAATTTTTTTCTCTTGCCTTTGGTTAGAGTTATTGTTTTTTTTTTTTTTCCTCATTCTATTTTTCACTATTCTTTGGAAGATAAAATTTATTTAAAAAATTCTTTTGGTCTTGGCCATTGGCATTATAATACATACTTAATAAAATCTAAATTAAACAGAATATCTACTCTCAACAATATAAAGACTTTACGCTGCTAGTATTGTCTAGACTTAAAATCTATGGAGATTTTTAAACATTATTATCGATAACATTGATTTATACAGTCAATATTTGTATATTCTTACCTACATTTTAATAATTTAATCACAGTTTTTCTGGCATCCAAGAGTTTCCTAGGCCCACTTTTCTTTTCTTTTCTTTTGAAATGGAGTCTTGCTCTGTCTCCCAGGCTGGAGGGTAGTGGCAGTGATCTCGGCTCACTGCAAGCTCCGCCTCCCGGGTTCACCATTCTCCCGCCTCAGCCTCTCTAGTAGCTGGGACTACAGGCGCCTGCCACCACACCCGGCTAATTTGTTTGTATTTTTTTTAGTAGAGATGGCGTTTCACCATGTCAGCCAGGATGGTCTCGATCTCTTGACCTCGTGATCCGCCTGCCTCAGCCTCCCAAAGTGCTAGGATTACAGGCGTGAGCCACCACGCCTGGCCCTTCTGGACTCATTTTTCTTTTTTGTGTCTATCCCTTCCACGTTATTTTAGTGAGGATCTGTAGGTGGCTGGAGTTTTCCAAGGGTTCCTAGTGATTTGCATCCTTTTCCTTACCCATGTTCTGAGAGACGAAAAATAAATCCTGGGTAAATGTAATGGGTACAATATTTCCTTTACTGCGAGGCTGTGTGATGGTTGGCAGATGTGCTGTCCTTGGATGAGCTGAAAAAAAAATATGCTTTCTGTGAGCAGCTCTCTCCCAAGTATAAAGAAGAACTCTCCTTGTAAAGTTGTTTTCCTTGGACTTGCCTAAATTTTCTTATTTATTTATTTATTTTTTTAGATGGAATTTCACTCTTGTTGCCCAGGCTGGAGTGCAATGGCGCAATCTTGGCTCACCACAACCTCCACCTCCTGGGTTTAAGAGATTCTCCTGCCTCAGTCTCCTGAGTACCTGGGATTACAGGCGCCTGCCACCATGCCTCGCTAATTTTGTATTTTTAGTAGAGATGGGATTTCTCCATGTTGGTCAGGCTAGTCTTGAACTCTCAACCTCAGGTGATCCACCTGCCTCTGCCTCCCAAAGTGCTGGGATTACAGGGTTGAGCTACCACGCCCGGCCAATCTTCTTAATTTAAGAGACAAAGGAAAGCCTAGAATTATACTAATTTAGCTTCCTTTAGAGGAACCTACCATGAATGATATATTGCAAGTGAGAAAGTAGTGTTCTCCTTCATAATACACCTTCTCTGTTTTTGTTTACCTAAAATTACTTTTAGTTTTGGAATTATTGTTTTTTGAGAATGCAATTCTAGACAGAAAGTTATTTTCTCTTAGTATGTGGAAGATATTTGACCACTATCTTTTGTCTTTCATTACTGTTGTTGAGATGTTGAGAAATAGGTTGTCAGCTTAATTTCAGTTCATTTGTAGGTCAACTGTGTTTTCCTTCTGGCTACTTTTAAGATTTCCGTTTTGTCTTTCATGGCTTGCACTTAGACTAACATATTGTGGATGGACTTCCTTTGATTTATCCTGCTTTCAATACTTTGGCCTTTTTATTTTTTAAGAGATAGAGTCTTGCTATGTTGCCCAGTTTGGACGTGAACTCCTGGCTTTAGGCGATCCTTCCACCTCAGCTTCCCAAATGGCTGGGATTAACACTTTGAACTTTTTAATGGAGAAAACATGCCTTTCTTAAATCTAGATGTTTCAGCAATTACCAATTCAAATGTTGCTTTTTCCTCATTTCTCATAATAAATCTTTCTCTTTACCTTTCCTTCATGTTTTCTATCCATCTTTGCTTTTATGTTATATTTGATGCAATTTTTCCAGTTAATTTCTTGCTTTTGAAACCTCTCTTCAATTTTATCTAAGCAGCTAATTAATTCCTTCATTGGGTTTTACATTTCTCTATAGAGCATGTATATATAATATATATTCTACATATTGCATATAATGTAATTATATATGCATACATAATACATGTTTATATATTGCATATGCATCAGTTATATACATATAACTCTAGAATTTGTTTTGGTTTAATGTCTTTGATAATTTTGATATTTTGATTGTCTTTTCCTCACGAATCTCAATTTAGAGGTCTCAGTGAGAAGAGCTCATCTTTACTCCCCTGGACAGTGGCTTCCTGTGGGTTTTCCTCCATATGTGCATCTCCACTGGGCAGCATGGCTTCTTCACAGCATTGTGGCTGAGCTCTAAGAAAAAGTGTACCAAGAAACAGTAAGTGGAAGCTTCCAGGCTCGTAATGCCTGGGCCTAGAAACTGGCACAGCACCACCTCCACTGGTATTGTGTTGGTCAGGTAATGAGAACTCAGATTCTAGGAGAGACTTTGGCACCATCTCTCAATGGGAAAAATGTTTTAAAAGTTTGGGGACAGGTTTCAAACCTCACAGATGCACTGATATGATTCTGTTCGTTCTAGACTTTTAAACTTAGACAAATATAGAATAAAAGAAGTTTGTTTAGAAGCTTAAAATGGACAATTAGAATTGCTAAAAACAGCACTAGCAGCTGGACATGTTGGTCCTTGGAGACTCACTTTGGGCCAGATTTACAAAGATTGAGGTGTATAGCTAGCTCTACATGGCTTCATCTTTTGCAGTGTCTTTATGTGACACAGTCTGCTGTTCTTGAAACATAAGGGTCAATATATTTATGATAAAAACATTTTACTTTCCTTTGATCAAGAACATTTCAGCACCTTAGGACTTCAGTGAATATTTGCTGATTAGTTGGAGAAACCTCAACACAGACGCACAGCCCGATCTTTCCAGAAGGTGGTCAATTGCTGAATGAGCGGAAGATAGTAAGAAATACAATTTGACAGTCACGCTCATTTTTTTTTTCATGAAATACCATTACAATTTTCTATAAATTTGCCGCTGGAACTATTTGATATTTAAGAATACTATAAACAATTTTAGTGGTACAATTTCTCACAGGCAGCCATTTTAAGGTGTTAAGAATGAATGATTTTGTATCCAGTTGAAATCTTAAAATTTCTTTCTAGTCTGCCTTCTTTCACATTGAGCCATTTGAGTTGAGTGTTCAAGTGCTAAATTTCTTCTTGGGCTTCATGCTTTCACTGGATTTGAAGATGGCTTTGCAGTTGTCCTGCTGACAGGGGCTTCAGAGACAGAGACAATTATAGAAAGAAAGGCGTCTGTTTCAGGGCTCTGTGCAATTCAAAGCTGAGTCTCCCTTAAAAAGCCCACTAGAAATGACTCATAAATAGTTTCCAACAGGGCTCCTGTCAAATGATGGCAAAAATCTTTTAAGTCCCAAATATGTGCAAATGAATCTCAATTTGGCTTTGCATGATGCTTTTCCTTCTATTTGATTCATTTTCAAAGTCAGCATAGTGTCATCATTGTTTCTTTCAGAAGGAGCAAATACATCCAAACTTGGACATATAGAATTACTGTGCTTCTGGTGGATGAATTAATCCCCAAAAGTCTGAAAACTTAAAAGCCTTACTTTTGGCATCTTTTCAGCTAGACTCAGAGGCATCAGTCTAAGTGGATCTTAATTTAAATGCATGGATATAAATCTAATCGAGAAGACTATTTGTGCATATTATAAATTATCAGTGAACAGTGCATGAAAACCAGTCTGAATTGTCCATTGAAAACCGACATTCAGGTATTCAGAATGAAGCAGTATGACTAGTTATGCAGTGTCTAAGTGTTCTTTTTCCATGGGAAAAGAAGCACATATTTTCCATATGCTAACCTAACCAGGTAGAAAATCATTTTGCAGACACACTGACAGATGACTGTTTCTCTATGCACAATGACCCCACTGTTCCAGTATTGTTCTGTTTGAAGTTGTATTTAGCCTCTTTCACTCCAGTCTCCTTATATAATTCTTTGCTAATCTAATATCTAAAACTGATCATGCTGTAGATAAAATTTGCCTTTCCCTTTTCTCAATCTCGTACTTAAGTTAACACACTCAGAGACTGTCCTTGACTCCTCTTTCTTTCTTTCTTTTCACCTATGCATCCTAAATGCCTTTCATTTTGCCTCTGGAGTTTTTAAAAGTCTGTCTTCCAGTCTCAATTTCTTCTGCCGCTGCCCTAGTTCAGGCAGTTCCCATCTTTAGCTTGGACCAATGCAATAGGCTCCATGTATGTTTTTTGGCTTCTAGATTCTCCTTAGCTTCTCAATATATCCTTGCCACGGGGGTCAGGATACCACCTTTAACAAATTTAAATCTGATTACATCACACATTTATTTATAAAGGCATTGGGATCTTCTATTGCATAAGTCAGAATAAAATCCAAGCTGCATAGGCTAGCTCCAATCTTTCCAGCTCCAGTTCCTGCCACTTCTATTTATACATCATCCCAAGCAAATTATTTAATTTCCCACACATTCATGATTTGGCTCATATTCATTCTTCTACTTGGCATATTCCAACTCTTTCCTGTTTGACACTGTCCTACTCATTTTTCAATATCACCTCTTTCAAAGTCTTTTAGGCAAAACAAAGCCATTGCACTTTTAGCTTTTTTTTTCTTTTGATATTCTCAGTATTATATTTTCACATGCAGTGAATAATATTATCTAACACCACTGAGCACTTCCTATTTAACTACCCCATCGATCTTATTCTGCAGATGAAAAAAAAAACTGAGGCTCAAGGAGTTTATCTAAGGCCGCATTGGTGTAAGTGTCAAGTCTCACTTCAGAATCTACAGCTATTTTCTGACATTAGCTTTGAAATTCCTTTGCTATACCCTATTTTCTGCTCATGTTTTATCCTGTTGCCTAGCATGTATGAGATAACTGTCTTAGACCAGGCTCGTGGGTAAAAAAAAAATCTAAGATAGAAACTTATATGCAGGAGCTATATTGGGGGATGCTCTCATGATCAATACATGTAAAAGACTTAAGGAGGCAGGACTGGGCAAAGAGAAGAACTGAACTATGAGGCATTTGCAGCAAAAGTCTCAGCTTCTCCCATGCGGAAGCTCAAGAGCTCAGATGGCTCTGAAGAGATATTTCATCTTGAGGCAAGGAAGCTGGGCAATCACCCACCTGCTTTGACTGTCACTGGAGGTGGCTGTCACCAGAGAGAGGGTGTAAACTTGAACACAGTATCTCCTTTCAAGGATTGGCCATCAATGGCCAACATTCCTGGTCCCACAATGAATAGCTCAGTCAGAAAGGGGTTCCCAGGGCTCATCACAGCCTTTATGTTATCCTTCTGTCTGTGTCTTCTTCTTAATACTCTGTGATGGATTGATCAAGGTCCATTTTATTTTCCACTACTGGTCTGAAAGTTACACATTCAGTATTTTTTAGTGGTTATCCTTATGGTTTTAATGTACATAGGTCTGAAGTTACCCATGTCCTCTTTCCACCTCCCAATTGACTCAGGGATCTCAGAGTACTTTGTCTCATCACCTTCCATCATTTTGTGTGATGCTGCTGCTCAGCACATCTGCTGCATTTCCCTATGCTGTAATGGGTTGTTAACGATTACTGCGTTGTATGGATTTTCTAACATGTTTGTTACCATTCATTCTTTCTTGCATCTCACTCGTTTTTCTGGGTTCAATTTCCTTTTCCTTGAAATGTCTTCTTTCGTAGTTTTTTTTCAGTGAGTATCTATTAATTGAAACTTCTCTTACTCTTTGCTTATATGAAATTCTTCAGCTTTTCCCATCTTTGAATGATCATGTAGCAGGTTGTAGGATTCTAGGTTGACGGTTATTTGCTTTCAGCACTTTGAGCATATGGTTCCATTTCTCCTGGCTTCTACTGTGCCTTTGAGCAGTTTTCAGTTAAGCCCAATTCCTGAAGAGGTGCTCAGCTCAGAGCCTCAGCCTCAACATGCTAAGTAGCTGGGAAAATGAATACCTCAATTCTGGAGGGGGGACATCTTTATGGTATACCGCATCATCCACTACAGAAAGTAATTGAGTTTTAAAAGGAGGAAAGTAGGGTAGAGGGAAGAGAAGGAGAAAAAAACTCCAGCTAATTGTTTCATTTTCAAGTTAGAGCCTGGGTGATTCCGAAAAGGCTCTTCCAGGATTCTTTATCTCAGCAGGCAAATATACTAATTTTTAATACTCTTTTCGTTTTTTGAAAAGTGCAATATCAGTTTATCCCTTGTCTCTAGTTCCTCAGCCAGACCTCATAGTAGCATAGGGATTAGTTATTTACACTCTGATTTAGCAGAGGATAAATTTTATTTTCATATGAACTCAAGAGAGAAAGCCTATTGATAACACTTGTAACCCTATTAAACTGAGACAGGTTTAGACATTAAGGAGAAGAGCAGATGTGTTACTAATTAGGGAAGCCTGGTTAACCTCAGCAAACAGCTAATTTAATTATTCAATTCAGTCTAGAAGATTTCCTTGGAAGATACTTCAATACTGGCATCTCATTATTTCCTTGAAGCAGAGTGGGAAGAAGCGCTTCCTCTAATAGACAGCACAGTGGATGCCCAACCCAGCAATGTGACCGAAGTTCATCACCTTTGCTCTTATTCCGGTTGGGCACTGTCTACATATTCCATGATTATAACAATGAATATTTATAATATTTATTGACTGCTACAGTTTATGGAGTCCATCTCATAATTTATACCCTACTGCATCCAGAAAGGATTTTAGATAACTTACATAAACATGAAAGGATTTTTCTAAAAAATAGAAATGAACTTGAATGAATGAAAATGAAGGTCAATTAATGTGAAAATTAATACACACAAATATCTACCCCACGGCTCTACCCAGTGCATAAAGGTGGATCACACCATTGCTCTGGGCTTCCTGATGGCTGAGGATCAGAGAAAATCTCTCAGGTATAAAACTTTTATGCTTTACATGTAGCTATTTTCCTAGTAGAGAGGTTTGGAAGGAACATATTGCAAGGATCTTCATGTCCCAACAAACATTCCCTCCAAAAAAAAGAAGGTAACACATTATCTAAGGTGCCATGCTAGAAATATAAATTCCTATCAGATTTTTGTCCAGAAAATAGGCACTTAAAATAAGGTTCAACAGGGGGTACTAGGAAAGGTTAGGGAAAATATGGCTGGGCATGTTGGCTCATGCCTATAATCTCAGTGCTTTAGGAAGCCAAGTCAGGAGGATCTCCTGAAGCCAGGATTTCAAGACCACCTGGACAACATAACGAGGCTTTGTCTGTACCAAAAAATAAAAAATAAAAATAAAAAAATTAGAAATTAGCCAGGCATGGTGGTGCTATGCCTGTAGCCCTACCTATTTGGGAGGCTGAGGTGAGAGGATTGCTTGAGCCCAGGAGTTTGAGCTATGATCATAGCTGCAGGGACCTATGGTCATCCCACTGCACTCTAGTCTGGGTGAGGGAGCAAGACTTCATCTAAATAAAATAAAATAAAAGTTTAAGAAAAATATAAATGATGACTTTCACATCAAAATGGTAATTGGATAATGAAATAATTTTCTGTCTCATGACTTTTCTTTAAAAAATGTACAGAGGTGTTAAAATGCAAAATTTCGTAAGCCCTGTAAACTTTGAGTAAATATCACATGGTAGATATGACTAGACTCAGAAAATTGCCAAGGCTAAACAACTCTTTCTGTTCTATATCCCAAGGGAGAACAGGGAGGGAAAATTAAGGGTGTTGGCTTAGCCACTGTCACTATATTCCACTTCAGAAACGCATTGCTGACAGCAAGAAGACTTGATTGCTACTCACATGTTTTTCTTTGTCCTACATAATTCTCAAAACTCTCCATTCCTCTCTAACCACACTCACTGGATAGCCTCAGATCATGTACTGATAATGTCTCACTTATCTTTAGTGGTCTTTGGAAAGATGCCCTTGTACTTGTTTTGTTTCATCTTTCACCCAGCTGCAGAGGGACTGTTTCAGAAGTCTCCCAGTCAACCTTCAAATCCAGCATGGCAGCCAAAGCTCTGTATATTCTGTGTCTGCCTTTCTAGCCCTGTCACTTAAGATTACACTTTCGCAACTCCTGCTGCAGTCTGTTCTCATGAAACTTCTCATTTCTCCAAGTCACTGCGTATGTAATTCCCTCTCACTGAATGTGTCCTTCTCCCTGGTCTAATGCTATTTCCTACTTGCTCTTCAAGGTGTGCTAAAATGTTCCTCTCAAGAAGCCTTTATGACATCCCCTGTCTAAATGAAGGTTCTTCTCTGCTGTGTTGCAATAACAAGCCACACATACCTCCAGCAGTTACCATTTTCATGGGTTACAACCATGCCATTTGCCCATGAGCTTCTAGTGTTTTGAAACTCTTCTCTATTCCTTAAGAGTTTGCTAAATTCGTGAAGAAAAGAATATGAGTGAATTCAGATTAGTAATTTGGCCCTACTGAATGATTGGTGGGAGAGAGAGTCAAATGGCCTAAACGAGATTAAGTATGGTTCTACATTTGATTATTCTAAGTGTTCATGTCACCTTTATTACAAGTAGTTTATTACAAGTAGTAAATGCTTTCTTTAATGGATGTCCTTTTGTTCATTTCATGCAACTACCTTGAGAGTGATAAGACCTAGGTTCTTTTCTGAAATATGAGATAATAACTTGTTGTATCAACTTAAGCAAGTCAGTAAAACTCTTTGCTTACTCATCCCTAAATGAAAGGGCTATGTTTAAAGTTTCCTTTGTAGGTCTTTCATTCCCCTCCAGTTCTAACAAACAGTACACAAGTAGCTTTCTGTAATATTTCCATATCAGGTTGTGTCCATGTATAAAAGGGTTTCAACACACTGCTTTGTAAATGTTCCCCTCGCCTGAGCATGCCTTAAGCATAGGTTAAGATGAAAATTCCAGCCGTACATGGTCCCAAAGGAGCTTTCAGGTTTTATTATAGCCTTGTGTATTTACAAGGCTTGTCTACCTGCATTCCAGAAAAGCATTCTATAGACCTGCTCCTGAGGAACCCAAGCTGCCTTAACAGTGCCTCCCTTGTTGCCATGAAGTGCAGTTGGCAGCAGACACATGGCATCATGGTCCACAGCTATAGAGTCTAAATCTCTTCTTAGCATGTGGAAATAGCTTAATGCTAAACAATATTTGGTTTTCAGAGGTTGCCATAGAAATACACTGAGATGAGTTTTCCTTTCCTTTTCTTTTTTTTCTTTTCTTTCTTTCTTCTTTCTTTTTCTTTCTTTCTTTCCTTTTTTTTTTTTTTTTTTTTTTTTGATGGAGTCTCGCTCTGTCACCCAGGCTGGGGCGCAGTGGCGCAATCTCAGCTCACTGCAACCTCCGCCCCCCAGGTTCAAGTAATTCTCCTGCCTCAGCCTCCTGAGTAGCTGAGATTACAGGCATGCACCACCACGCCCAGCTAATTTTTGTAATTTTTATATTTTGAGTAGAAACAGGGTTTCACTCATGTTGAACTTGGCCAGGTTGGTCTTGAACTCCTGACCTCAGGAGATCCGCCCACCTCAGCCTCCCAGATGCTGGGATTACAGATGTGAGCCACTGTGCCTGGCCAGATGAGGTTGTTTAGATCATGACTTCTGACAGATGATCCAAGCCACACTAAATAATTAAAAATTGATTTTTTAAATCAGTGGAAATATCTTAAAGTAGAAAGGTGATAATTCATGTATAGCAAAAGTTAATGCAGATGGGATGAGTCATACTTTAACACACTTCTGACTTCTGTTCTGGCCTATATCATGGTGGCCTCTGCTCTCCCCTCTCTCTCCTCCAGCCTCCTTTCCCTTCCCTACTGTTCTCCTTTTAGTCCCCGCCAATCCACCCTCCTCTCTCCTTGCTCTCCTGTCCTTTCCTCTTTGGTGTGGATTTGGTGAGGACGCTCTTATTTTGTATTAAGTAGACCATTAGAAGGTGAGATGGGATGTTATTTTCTCATTAGTCATGCTGAATTGGCATCATGCCACTTTGTGTTTTTACCTAAAGAAACAATATCAGTAAGACGATTTTTAAAATTCCTGTGTGAAATATATTCTCCAGTCTAAACTCGAAACTGTTTTAAGAGAAATCTTTAAAATACAGATTTATTATATTTTTAGCACTCAAATGAATCTAGAAAACAAAACAATAAAATATATGTGCAGGTAATACAAATGCTAGCTGTGCAGATTAAATACATGGAATAGCAATATAGATTTGATAATTTTTCACAGTTTATGCATTTTCTAAGTTGAAATAAACATTTTTGGAAAAAAAAGTCTGTCGAAGTATTGAATGGATTCTGTGAATTGACATACATGTAAGGTAAAGGAAATGGGCGGTTGTTGAACATCTGCTACTTGCCAAAGACAGCTACAAGTTCAAATCTAATGTTTACAATACATGTATAGCAGGTATTTATCAGGCACATAGTATAACAGAGGCACCCAATGAAAAGTATGTCTTCTTATCTAATTTCCTAATCATTTTCAGTAACTATTACCACAGTTAACAATTTCACAAGCATCCTCAGAGACAGTGAAAATATTTTAGCATAAACCCATATATGTAATGTCCTTTTTGTATTCTTAAATAAAATCACACTAATCTTAAATAAAATTACCCCATATTGCACCTTAATTTTTAACTATTAAATAGTAATTCATAAAAATTTTTAAATATCATCATATACAACCCTATCTTATTTTTAAATATAAACACAGTACTTTATTTTATGAAAATAATATATTTTATTAAACAATTTCCATTCTTATGTACATTTGTTTGTTTCATATTTTTCCTACTGTAAATTATAATAAATATTATCGTTTATATTTCTTGATTTACTTCTATAAATATGTAGAATCAAATGCTAAAAGTGTAACTGATGGGTTAAAAAAAACTACATTTAAAATTGTGGTAGAACACCAGCAAGATGGCAGAATACAAAGCCTCTTCCTTCCCTCCATGACCACGGTGATTCAACAATTCACAGACAAATTCATTTTGTGAGAAATTCAGCAACTAGCTGAGGATTTCTGAATCAGGTGATCACACTACCCACACTGAGAGCAGTACGGAAATTTGATATACCCTTTTGCCATAATCCTTACCTCTGTCAGAGCTCCATAGACTTGGGAGGTAAAGTCCTAGCTCCAAGCTTCTCCCTAGGGAGAGAAAGAGGTTGACCACATGTCCAATTCCCCAACTCTTTCAGAGGCTTCCCAAATAACTGGCTTCTGTCTAGTCCATCCCACAGTACTTATGTGACCCAGCATAATTTAGTCTGACTGAAGTCAGGGAGAACAGAAATGGCAGTGTGGGCTTGCAGTCACCATAACCCTATATCCCCTCAGCACAGAGACAGCAAACAAAGAATCCTACCTTCAAGCTTCTTCTGGAGGTGAAAACAAGTGGATCTCATGTCCAATGACCCCAATTTTCTTGGGACTACCCAGAGGACTGACTTCTGTCTCGCCTGTCTTGAGTGCTGATGGCAACCCCAGCTGGGGGTCAAGTGAGGACACAGATGATGGTTCGAACTAGCATTTATCTACTTCTCATAGCCCCTTCTCTGGATCAGCAAAGAGGAAAACAAAAAACAAAACAAAACAAAAACCCAGATCTTAGATCCTCCCAGGGAAGAGAAACAGTTTGACAGAGTGTCCAATGATCCAACTTTTCTGGAGCCTGTCCGTGGAAGTGACTTCAGTACCACTTCTCTTGAAGTGCTGACAGGACTTAGTGCACTCTAGATGCCTGGGGGCTGCTAAGAACAAAGAAAGGGGATTGAATGTGCACGAAGGTTAAAAAGGCTCCTAGAATCCCTAGCAAGGCTGATTCGTGAGGGTCTTCTCCTGTATGAGGCCAATATGAAAGAGGTGGCTGTTTTGTCTAATGTGTAAGACTCCAACATAGAGTCAGGGAAAATGAAGAAACAAGAAATATGTTCCAAACAAAAGAACAAAATACAGCTCCAGAAGCTGACCCAGAGGAAACTGAGTTATATGATATACCTGATGGAGAATGTAAAATAACTGCCATAAAGTATGTTCACCAAGGTTAACAAAAGAATGCATGAACAAAATGAGAATTTCAATAAAGATATAGAAAATATTAAAGGGTACCAAACAGAGATCCTGGAGCTTAACGGTACATTAACTGCACTAAAACATTTACTAGGGAGCTTCAACAGCAGACTAGATCAAGCAGAAGAAAGAATCAGTGAAGTCAAAGACTGGCCATGTAAAATTATTCAGTCAAAGGAGCGAAAGAGAAAACGATAATAAAAAAAAAGGCATGAAGAAAGCTGAAGGAACTTATTTGATACCATCAAGCAGACCTATATTCACATCAAGAGATTTTCCAGGGGGAGGAGAGAGGAGAGAGAGAGCGGGGAGAAGGAGAACCAGAAAGCATATATGAAAAACCCCCAGACAGCTGAAAACTTCCCATATCTGTGAAACAAAATGAACACTCAAATCCAGGAAACTCAAATAGTCTCAAATAAGATGTATCCAAAGAAATACACATCAACAGACATTATATTAAAATTGTCAAAGTCAAAGACAGAGAATTTTGAAAGCAGCAAGATAAAGGCAGCTTGTCACATGTAAGAAAACTCCCATGACTATTAACAGATTTTTTTTTTTTCCTGGGGGCCAAAAGAAAGTGCGGTGATATATTCAAAATGCTGGAAAAAAACCTTTCCAATCAAGAATACTAACCTCTGCAAAAACATTCTTCAAAAATAAAGGAGAGATAAAAACATTGCCAAACAAAACTCAGGGATTTGGTCACGACTGGACCTGCCTTACAAAAAATGCTAATGGTACTTCTTCCAGTTGAAACAAAAGGATGCCAAACAACAATGGGATACTATAAGAAAGTATAAAACTCATTGGTAAAGGTTAATACATAGAGAAATGTAGACTACTATATTATTGTAATGGTGGTAGATAAGTCATTTTTAATTTGAGTATAAATTCAAAAGAAAAAAGTGACTAAAAATAACTAACTAAAAATGTGTCAATGGATGGACAAAATAAATAGCTGTAAATTGTGACATCAGTAATATGAAGTCTATGGGGAGGCAGTAGTAAGGTGTAGAGTTTTTATATGTGATTGAGCTGTTATCATCTTAAAATAGATTATTATATCAATAAGACATTTTATTTTAGCCCCAAAGTAACAACAAAAATATCTATAGAGGTTATAAACACACACACGAAGAGAAAAGAATCAAAGCATGTTAATACAGAAACCCAACAAAATGCAAAGAAAGAAAACAAGAGAGACAAAAAGGACACAAAAATCTGTAAGACAAACAGAACACAGGTAACAAAATGGCAAGTAGCTAATTCTTCCCTATCAACAATTACTTGAAGTGTAAGTGGATTAAATTTCCCAGTGATGAGACTGAATGGAATAAAAAAGACCCCACTCTATGCTGTCTATAAGAAACTCATTTAGATTTATGACACACACAGGCCAAAAGTGAAGGGATGAAAAAAAAATTCCATGCAAATGTCAACCAAAAGAGAGCAGGATGGCAATATTTATATCATACAAAATAGACATTTAGTCAAAAACTGGCAAAGATAGAAGGACATTATTTAATAAAAAGTCTCATTTACTCTGAAGACATAATAATTACAAATATATAAAGATAGTTCCAATTTATGGTGGTTTGACTTATGAGTTTTTGACTTTCTGATGGGTTTATGGGGAAGAATGCCTATCATAACTTAAGGAGCATCTGGACTTAATAAAAATTTGATTGACAATTGTTTAATATTATGATGGGTTTATTGAGATAGTAAATGCATTTTAAACTTTTGGTATTTTTACTTATGATAGGTTTATCAAAATGTAACCCAATTGCAAATTGAGGAGCATGTATAAATGCACTCATATCAGACCAACTAAATATATAAAGCCAACATTGATGGAACTGAAGGAAGAAATAGACAGCAACAAAATAATACTAGGAGACTTCAATATCCCCACTTTCAACCACAGATAGAACAACTAGACAGATCAAACAAAGACAAATCAACAAAGAAATAGCTGATTTGAGCAACACTATAGACCAAATGGACCTCACAGACATATACAGAATGTTCTGCCCAATAGAAGTAGAATACCTATTCTTCTCAAGTGCACATGGAGTATTCTCTGAGATAGATCACATGTTAGGTCACAAAACAAGTCTTAACAAATTTTAAAATATTTAAATAATAAGTAGAATATCCATTCTTCTCAAATGCACATGGAGTATTCTCTAGGATAGATCAGATGCTAAGTCACAAAGCAAGTCTTAACAAATTTTAATATATTGAAATAATAAGTATCTTTTTTGAAGAAATTAAGTGAACTCAGGAATCAATAGCTGAATGAAAACTGAAAAATTCATAAATATGTGGAAACTAAACAATGTACTTTTGATCAAAATTGGGTCAAAGAAAATAATCAGAGGTGATGCAGTGGCATGTGCCTGTAGTCCAAGCTACTTGGGAGGCTGAAGCAGGAGGATCACTCAAGTTCAAGGGTTCAAGACCAGCCTAGGCAATATAGCAATATTTTTTCTCTAAAACACACACACACACATACACACACACACACACACACACACACACACACACACACACACAAACACTTTTTTTAAGTAATAAGGAAATTAGAAAATACCCTGAGACTAACAAAAATAAAAATATTGCAGAAAAAAATGTACAGAACAAAAGTAGTACTAGGAAGGACATTTATAGTGATAAATGCCTATATTAAAAAAGAAGACCTCAAATAAGTACCCTAATTTTACACTTCAGGAAACTAGCAGAAGAAGAAGAAACTAAGAATGAAGTTGGCAGAAAGAAGGAAAGAATAAAGATTAGAGTGTAAATTTAAAAAATAAAAACTAGATAACAGAAAAAATTCAGTGAAACTAAGAGTTGGTTTATGAAAAGCTAAGAAAAATTGACAAACTTTTAGACTAACAAAAAAGGAACAACTCAAATAAAATCAGAATGAAAGAGGAAAAACAGAAATTGATGCCACAGAAATAAAAAGGATCATACTACTGTGAATAATTATACGCTAACAAATTGGATAACCTTGAAGAAATGGATAAATTCCTAGAAACATAAAACTTACTAAGATTGAATCATGATGGAATAGAAAGTCTAAATAGACCTTTAACTAGTAAGGAGATAGAAGAAGTAATTAAAAACCTCTCGGCCGGGCACGGTGGCTCACGCCTGTAATCCCAGCACTTTGGGAGGCCGAGGCGGGTGGATCACGAGGTCAGGAGATCGAAACCATCCTGGCTAACACGGTGAAACCCCATCTCTACTAAAAAAAAAAAAAAAAAAAAAAAAAAAAAAAATTGTAGGGCATGGTGGCGGGCTCCTGTGGTCCCAGCTACTGGGGAGGCTGAGGCAGGAGAATGGCATGAACCCGGGAGGCGGAGCTTGCAGTGAGCAGAGATCGCGCCACTGCACTCCAGCCTGGGCACAGAGCGAGATTCTGTCTCAAAAACAAAAAACCTCTCAACAACAATAAAAATCCCAGGACCAGATGGCTTTATGGGTAAACTCTATCAAACATTAAAAGAAGAATTAACCCCAATCTTACTCAAATTCTTTCCAAACAAAGGAAGAGTAAGGAACATTTCTAAAGTAGTTTTGTGAAGCCAGCATTACCACGTGTATTAGTCCGTTCTTACGCTGCTATAAAGAACTGCCCGAGACTGGGTAATTTATAAAGGAAAGAGGTTTAATTGACTCACAGTTCCACATGGCTGGGGAGGCCTCAGGAAACTTAGAATCATGGCAGAAAGGGAAGCAAACACATCCTTCTTCACATGGTGGCAGGAGAGAGAAGTGCTGAGCAAAGGGGGGAAGCCCCTTATAATGCCATCAGATCTCATGATAACTCACGTGCTATCATGAGAACAGCAGCACGGGGGTAACCGCCTCCATGATTCAATTACCTCCCACAGAGTCCTTCCCAGGACACACGGTGATTATGGAACTACAATTCAAGATGAAATTTGGGTGGGAACACAGCCAAACCATATCACCCTGATAACAAAACCAGACACAAAAAGGAAATTATAGCCCAATATCTCTGGTGAACATAGATTCAAAAATCCTCATCAAAACATTAGTAAACAAAATTCAACAGCAGATTACAAGGATCATACACCCCGACCAAGTTAGATGGGATGCAAGGGTGGTTAAACACGTGCAAATCAATTAATGTGACACACCACTTCAACAGAATGAAGGCTAAAATCACGTGATCTTCTCAATAAATACAGAAAAGGCATTTGATAAAATTCAACACCCTTTCATGACAAAAATTCTCAACAAACTAGGAATAGACAGAAATTGCCTCAACATTATAAAGGACCTACATGAAAAGCCCCCAGCTAACATAATACTCAAAGGTGAAAAGTTGAAGGCCTTTACTCTAAGATCAGGAATAGAGAAGAATGCCTATTCTCACCACTTCTATTCAACATAGTACTGGAATTCCTATCCAAAGCAACTAGGCAAGAAGAAGAAATAAAAGACACCAAAATAAGAAATGAAGATGTAAAATTGTCCCTGTTTGCAGATGACATGATTTTATTTACAGAAAACCCTAAGTACACTATTATGTTGGTGCAAAAGTAATTGTGGTTTTTGCCATTGACAAACACCGCAATTACTTTTGCACTGAACTAATACAAAAACCTGTCAGAACATAAATGAATTCAGTAAAATTACGGAATAAAAAACAACATAAAAAACCAGTTACAATTCTATATGCTCACAAAATACTATCCAAAAATAATACTTAGGAATAAACTTAACTAAGAAAGTAAAAGACTATTAAACTGAAAACTATCAAACATTGATAAAAGAAATTTTGAAACTCATGAGCAAAAGGAAAGATAACCTATATTCATGGATTGGAGGACTTAATATTGTTAAAATGTCCACTCTTTCCAAAGTAATCTCTAAATTTAATGCAATTCCTATCAAAATTCTTGGGGTATATTTTTACAAAATAGGATAAAAGACACTAAAATTCATATGGAACCAAAAAAGACTCTGAACAGACAAAACAACCTTGAGCAAGAAGAACAAATCTGGAGACATCACACTTCCTAATTTAAAAATATATTACAATTCTATAGTAATTAAAACTTTGTGGTACTGGGCATAAGGACAGACATATAGACCGATAGAATAGATTAAAGAGACCAGAAATCAGTCTGCACGTTTTTGGTCAACTGATCTTCAACAAGAGTGTAAGAATATACAATGAGTAAAGAATATTCTCTTCAACAAATTTTGTTCGGGAAACTAAATATCCACGTGCAAAAGGATGAAATTGTCCTGTTATATCACACAAAAAATTATCTTTAAATGGATTAAAGATTTAAACATAAGACCTGAAACCATAAACTTCCAGAAGAAAACATGAAAAAAAGCTTGATGATGTTGGTCTTTGCAATGATTGCATAGATCTAACCCTAAAAGCACAAGGTAGCAAGCAAAAATTGATTAGTTGGACTGCATCAAACCAAAAAGTCTGTACATACCAAAGGAAACACTCCATATTTAAAATGTCAACTTTTTGAATGGGAAAAAAATATTTTTAAACCATTTATCAGATAAGAAGTTAATTTCCAAAATTCATAAGAAATTCTCACAACTCAATAACAAAAATAAAAAAAAATGGGTTATAGACTTGAATAGACATTTCTCCCAAGAAGACATACAAATGGCCAACAGGCATATGAAAAAAATGCTCAATATCACTAATAACCAAGGAAAGGTGAATTGAAACCATGAGATAATTATAATATATTATAATATATTACATATATATTACAATATATGTGTAGTATATTATAATATATTACACATATATTATAATATATGTGTAATATATTATAATATATATGTAATATCCTATTTTGTATTACCTCACACTGTTAGGATGGCTATTATCAAACATCAAAATACTAAAGTGTTGACAAAGGTGCTGAGAAATTGGAACCCCTTGTACGTATTTGGTGGGAATGCTAAATAGTGAAGTCAATATGGAAAATATAGGGATTCTTCGAAAAATTAAAAATAGAATAAATCTGATCCAGCAAACCCACTTCTGCATACATATCTCAAAGAATGGAAATCAGAATCTTGAGGATATATTAGCACTCCAATGTTCATTAAAGAACTATTTACAATAGCCAAGATGTAGAAACAACCTAAATGTCTGCTGAAGGATGAATGGATAAAGAAAGTGTGGTGTATAAATACTGTGGTATATTATTTAGCCTTAAAAAGGAAAGAAATACTGAAAATGTTACAACATGGAGAAATCTTGAGGATATTATGCCAAGTGAAATAAGCCAGTCACAAAAGAACAAATACTGCATGATTATAATATATAAGGCATCTCATAGAGTCAAACTCATAGAATCAGAGAGTAGAATAGTGCTTGCCAGGGGCAGGGGGAGGGGAACATGGGAATTGCTAATTAATGGGCATAAAGTGTCAATTACGCAAGATGAATAAATTCTAGAGATCTGCTGTAGAGCATTATCTCTATAATTAACAATGTGTATTACACATGTAAAATTTGTTAAGATGGTAGATCTCACATTAAGTGTTACTACCACAATAAAATAAAATAAGGTAAAATAAAATAAAAAGAAGAAGAAAGACAAAGATATTGGCTTAGTTTTATAATAACTATCTGGTTATATAAAATTTGTGTTTTTACTCCTTATCTGAGAATAAAAATGATAGGTAACAAAAAAGTTGGTATTCAATTCCTAAAGACATAAGAGACTACCTACGTGGGCAAAATTAAAACGTATCCTTTCTTCCTGTTGTTTCTTCCAATTTAAATTAGACAATTGTTGGATCCATGAATTTAGTCATCGGAGTCACAGAATGGTGAGGAATTTTATTGACTGTTTAAAGAAGAATTGACTATATTGGAAGACAATAGAAATGGAAAAATATGACACCACAAAACAACATGCTTTAGAAACACAGTTTCCAACTTCAGTTTTCAGTCACATCACTGATTATCAAAGACAAGTTGCCAGATAAATTTTATTTTATTAATGGCCTACAGGTAATACAGTGAGTAAAATAAAATTGCAATAGATTTGCCAATTTTCCTTTAAAAATTGATACAGTTTTCCAGCACCGTTTCTCCAGTGCTAACTCTGTACCTGCATTCTAAGTCTATACCCATTTTCCAGATTCAACTCCAGAAGCTTTTTGAAGGTCAGGGGTCTAATCAAACTGGTTCATGGTAAGAACCAAGCTAAGCATGACAGAAAGCCTCTGTCCACATCAAAATGATACCTCAATGTAGTTTAGATGAGTAATTTGAAAAGAAAAAACCAGAAAAGCAGTCATGATTAGCCAACAGTAATAGCTGCATTTGTCAAAAATATGAGAGATACTTTGTGGCTCTACCATAGCGGTCTGTATAGTTTTCATTATTTAACCTCTCTGGTTTTATTTTTGTGTGTTAGGCCAATGAGCCATTTTTTTCTGTTATGCCATTATGAAGATCTAATTTGAGCACAAGAAGTTGTGAAACATTAATACTGGCTCATTATGAGCAAAGAAGGACTTTTGCAGGGAAATCCACTGTCATGAGGTTTCACTAGCTTCGACTCATGGAGCACCAAATTAATTTCAACAGAATGTTGGAGAACCAGTGCTTTCAGTCAAGGGTTATCAATGTGCTGAAAAAGCAAATAAACTAACAAGTCTGTAAATTCCATGTTGGATTAAAAAAATTCCTGAGTAGATTAAAAAGTCTAGAGCAAGATGCATACTAATTGAGAAATTAGACTAGAGAAGAAATTGAATGGAGAAGTCCTGAAGAATAATAAGCCAAAAAGTGTATTCTTTTACTTGTGTTTGCTTTTAACTGAGTACTTATTGAGTTGCTCTTACTATGAGTGAAACATTATGCGAAGGGACATAGAAAATACAAGAAACTAGAAGAGGATTGTGATTCTCTAGGAGTTTACAGTTAACTATTCAAGAATCAAAAAATTTTGTTTAAGAAAACACCAGAAAAGACCCTATAAATCAGTATATAATTGTCAAATAAATAGTATCATAAATGAATGCCTAGGAATTCAGATATGAGTTGACTCAGACAAGGGAAGGTTTTATAGAGAACATAAGATTTGAACTGGGGCTTACAGAGCTGCTAAACTCTGAAGAGGCAGGGAGGGCCTTCTTGGGATAAAGAAAATCCAGTTACTTAATCTGAGCTTTCACAACAGCATTATTTAACAGGTTAGATCTTGCAGAACTGAGTTGCTTAGGGAAAGTCATGTTTCTGCTTTCAGATTTAAAAAAAAAATTCTGCCTGGGACCAAAAGCAGAGGGGAGTCATCTGTTTAGTCGTTTTCCCTTTTTTTGGTGCAAATACCATTTTGTGGACGATCTCTATGGATGAGAACTGGCAGAATTTAATAAATACATCACCCGTGTTTTTATCACAATATATTACAATGTGTTATGCTATGTTGTGTTGTATAATTTATGTTTCATGACCTTTTGTCTCAATACCTTGTGAATTGTATCACCGACGTTATAAAAGCAATGCAAAGCCAGGTACAGTGGCATACACCTGTAATCCCAGCTACTCAGGAGGCTGAGGCTGGAGGATCACTTGAGGCCAGGAGTTTGAGACCAGCCTGGGCAACATAGCAAGACCTAGCTCTAAAATATAAAATAAAACACAATAAAATAACAACAATGCAGTCTGTACTCCGCAAAAGGCCAGCCTGAAATGGAGGTATAAATGGAGGAATATTACAAGGCCTTCATTTATCCAAGTTACCCTTCACGGCACTCCAAATTTTTGCCATTAAGTTTGAATTACAACAGAGGTTTGCAAATTTCTACCCACGGTCCATATGCAGCCCAGTTTCTGTTGTTGTTGTTGTTTTGTTTTGTTTTGTTTTTTTACAGCCTGTAATCTAAAAATGTTTTTAAAAGTTTTAAGTGGCTGAAAAAAAAATCAAGAGAAGAACATTTTGTGACACAGGAAAATTCTATGAAATCCAAATTTCATGGTCCATACATATATTCGTGGAGACTTATGTGTCACAACCACAGAGTTCATTAGTTGCACAGAAACAGTATAGCCCACAAAATATCAAATATTTACTCTTTGGCCTTCACAGAAAAAAATGGTCAATTCCCAGGTTAGAGGATGGTGGTTTTTGAAAGGTCACAGTTGAATATGCTGCCTAGAGAGGTGCTGAGCTAGGAGAACTATTACCACATTAGCACCCATGCTGAGATTTCCCTGAATTTATTTAGGAGTGGAGGTGGCTGTGCTAGGCATCAGTGGCCTTCTCCACCTTTCCCTTCAGCCCTGATGCTTTCACCATAATTTACCATGTAGTTTGAAAGTTGAAGGTATCAGAACCAACTTCCAATCAGCCCACAATTCCCCACCTCCCCTTCTATGTCTCAGGACTTGGCCCCTCCTGGATCATATGATCAAAACCTTTCAACTTTCCAGATTTCCCCTGGGATTGTCCTTACCTGCTACTCCTCCCTGGAAAAGTCTCTCTTCTCCAATTTTTTTTTTCACCCTGAGAAAGGTTGAAGCATGAAAACCCTAGACCAAGCATTCTCAACGACTGGTCCATGGATCCCTGGGAGTCTCTGAAATCCTGGCATGAGGTGAAGCTATTTGCACAGTGATACCAAGATGTATCTTTCACTGTGTATCTTTGCACTGATGATACAAAAGCAAAGGTGGGCAAAACTACAGGAGCCTGAGTCAGACACCACGCTCTATTAGCAGTCTTCTTCCCCAGCACACATCTCAGTGGCAGGGGTAGGGGGCAGTTTCTCTGGGTAAAGAATATCCTGGGTGAAGTATTAATTTTTAAAAATATCAACACTTAAGTTAGTGTATTTGTAATATTCTGTGTGATAAAATGGGCTTTTACACACTTCTGCCACCACTGAAGTATGGGTGATATCCCCAGGAAAAGCACCTGTGTGATTGTTAGAATGACAAGCTGACTCAATGCTCTATGTATCTTTTTATTTGAAAGAATGCCTGACAGACTAAATACGGTTTTGCATACATGGATATTTGGCAGACATTTTCTTGAAGATGAACAAGAATCTGTCACTTCAAGGAAAACAACTGATAGTGTTTGTTGCCTGTGATAAAATTTGAGCTTTTTGAATAAAAATTGGAATTTTTAAAAACTTGTATTCACCACCAGGATCTTAACAGCTTCTTGATACTTCAAGACTTTTCTGTCAAGATCCGTGATGATATTAATGAGTGTGATTTTTTATATTACATAATGAAATGTGTTAACATCTGAAAGAGCTGCATAACTTAGCAAACTGATATATTTTCCTTATGACCAATACCACAAGCCATGCATAGGTAAAATATTCTTTCAAAGTGCATGACCAAAAGATTGTGATGTAAAAACAGATATAAAAATTGCATTGATGTGTTTCAGATTACATATTATGACTAACTTTTAGGAACTACCATTTCTCAAGTTTTATTGTATTACTGAAGAATAGCCATAATTATTGGAAAGACTATTAAAATATCAGCCCTCATTTTCTAACCCCATATCTTTGTAAGACCAAATTTTAATATACTGTACTTCAACTCAAACTGCATATCACAACAGATTGAATGCAGAAGCAGATATGAGAATTCAGCTTTTTCCTATTAAGTATATAAAAAAAAAAGTCATACATTAAAAAGAGTCGCGGCCGGGCACGGTGGCTCACGCCTGTAATCCCAGCACTTTGGGAGGCCTACGTGGGCGGATCACGAGGTCAGGAGATCAAGACCATCCTGGCTAGCATGATGAAACCCCGTCTCTACTAAAAATACAAAAACTTAGTCGGGCGTGGTGGCGGGCACCTGTAGTCCCCGCTACTCGGGAGGCTGAGGCAGGAGAATGGCGCCAACCCAGTAGGCGGAGCTTGCAGTGAGCAACAGAGCAAGACTCCGTCAAAAAAAAAGAGAGTCACAAAAATGTAAAACAATGCCGTTTTCTACTTTTTTGTTTCAAAAAATGTAGTTATTTATAAAATGTTACCTACATTAATATATTTATTATTGGGGGCTTAGCACTGTCATTTCTATGTAAATAAATATTTAAAATTTTTCTATCTTAATTTCTAATACCGTAAATAGTGACAACTGTAACTCACATAAGCAAAAGCTCTTTAGGGTCCTCAGTCATATGAAATTTTTTTTTAACTTTTAGTTTAAATCCAGGGGTACATGGGCAGTTTTGTTACATAGATAAACTTGCATTTTTACAGGGGTTTGTTGTACAGATTATTTCATCACCCAGGTATTAAGCCTAGTACACATTAGTTATTTTCCCTATTCCTCTCCTTCCTCCCATCCTCCACCCTTCAATAGGCCCCAGTGTGTGTTCTCCCCCTCTTTGTGTCTGTGTGGTCTCATTATTTAGCTCCCACTTGTAACTAAGAACATATGATATTTGGTTTTCTGTTCCTGTGTTAGTTTGTTAAGGATAAGGGCCTCCAGTTACATCCACGTCCCTGCAAAGGACATGACCTCATTCTTTTTTATGACTGCATAGTATTCCACAGTGTATATGTATCACATTTTCTTTATCCAGTCTATCATTGATGAGCATGTAGGTTGATTCCATGTCTTTGCTATTGTGAATAGTGCTGCAATGAACATATGCATGCATGTGTCTTTATAACAGAATTCTTCCACATAGTTGAACTAATTTACACTCTCACCAACAGTGCATAAGCATTTCTTTTCTTCCAAAATCTTACCAGCATTTGCTGTCTTTTGACTTTTTAACAATAGCCATTCTGACTGGTATGAGATGGTATCTCATTCTGGTTTTGATTTACATTTCTCTAATGATCAGTGATGTTGAGCTTCTTTCCATATGCTTGGCCACATGTATGTCTGCTTTTGAAAAGTGTCTGTTCATGTCCTTTGCCCATTTTTTAATGGGATTGTTTTTTTCTTTAAATTTGTTTAAGTTTCTTGTAGATGCTGGATATTATTAGACCCTTATCAGATGCATAGTTTGCGAAAATGTTCTCCCATTCTGTAGGTTGTATGTTTTCTCTCCTGATAGTTTTCTTTGCTGTGCAGAAGCTCTTTAGTTTAATTAGATATTATTTGTCAATTTTTGATTTTGTCACAATTGCTTTTGGCATCTCCTTCATGAAATCTTTGCCCATGCCTAAGTCCCAAATCGTACTGCCAAGTTGTCTTCCAGGGTTTTTATATTATTGGGTTTTACATTTAGGTCTTTAATCCATTTTGAGTTAATATTTGTATATGGTGTAAGGAAGGGGTCCAGTTTCAATCTTCTGCATATGGCTAGCCAGTTATTCCTGCACCATTAATTAAATAGGGAATCATTTCTCCATTGCTTGCTTTTGTCAGGTTTGTAGAAGATCAGATAGTTGTAGGTGTGTGGTCTTATTTCTGGGTTCTCTATTCCATTTCATTGCTCTATGTATCTGTTTCTGTAATGCTACCATGTGGCTTTGGTTACCGTAGCCCGGTAGTATAGTTTGAAGTCTGGTAGCATTAGGCCTCCAGCTTTGTTCTTTTAATTTAGGATTGCCTTAGCTATTCAGGCTCCTTTTTTGGTTCCATACGAATTGTAAAATAGTTTTTTTCTAGTTCTGTAAAGAATGTCAATTGTGGTTTAATAGGAATAGCATTGAATCTATAAATTGCTTTGGGCAGTATGGCCATTTTAATGATATTAATTAAGCTAGCAGAAGACAAGAAATAACCAAAATCAGAGCTGAACTGAAGGATACTGAGACATGAAAAAACATCAAAAGATCAATAAATCCAAGAACTAATGTTTTGAAAATATTAATAAAATAGATAGATTATTAGCTAGACTAATAAAGAAGAAAAGAGAGAAGATTCAAATAAACACAATCAGAAACAACAAGGGGGATATTACCACTGACTCCACGGAAATACAAACAACAATTACAGAATATTGTAAACACCTCTATGTACATAAACTAGAAAATCTACAAGAAATGGAAGGATTTCTGGACACATACCTCCTCCCAAGACTGAACCAGGAAGAACTTGAGTCCCTGAATGGACCAATAACAAGCTCTGAAATGGGGACAGTAACAAATAACCTAAAACAAACAAACAAACAAAAAGCCCAGGACCAGACAGATTCACAGCTGAATTCTACCAGATGTACAAAGTAGAGCTGGTACTATTCCTTCCGAAACTATTCCAAAAAATTGAGGAGGAGGGATTCCTCCCTAAGTCATTCTATGGGGCCAGCATCATTCTGATACCAAAACCTAGCAGAGGTACAACAACAACAACAACAACAGCAATAAAAAGTTCAGGCCTAAATCCTTGATGAACACTGATGCAAAAATCCTCAACAAAATACTGGGAAACTGAATCCAGCAGCACATCAAAAAGCTTATCCACTAAGGTCAAGTAGGCTTCATTCCTGGAATGCAAGTTTGGTTCAACATACACAAATCAATAATTGTGATTTATTGCATAAGCAGGACTAAAGACAAAAACCACATGGTTATCTCAATAGATGCTGGAAAGGCTTTTGATAAAATTCAACATCCATTTATGTTAAAAATGCTTAATAAACTAGGTATTGCAGAAACATACCTCAAAATAATAAGAGCCATATATGACAAACCCACGGCCAACATCATATTGAATGGGCAAAAGCTGGAAGCATTCACCTTGAAAACCAGCACAAGACAAGTTTGCCCTCTCTCATCACTCCTATTCAACATAGTGTTGGAAGTTCTGGCCAGGGTAATCAGGCAAGAGAAATAAATAAAGGGCATTCAAATAGGAAGAGAGAAAATCAAACTATCCCTGTTTGTAGATGATACAATCCTATGTCTAGAAAATCTCATTGTTTCAGCCCAAAACCTTCTTAAGCTGATAAACTACTTCAGCAAAGTCTCAGGATACAAAATCAATATGCAAAAATCACTGGCATTCCTACACACCAACAAGAGCCAAGCTGAGAGCCAAATCATGAAAAAACTCCCATTCACAATTGCCACAAAAAGAATAAAATAACTTGGAATACAGCTAACTAGGGAGGTGAAAGATCTCTACAAGGAGAACTGCAAACTACTGCTCAAAGAAATCAGAGTTGACATACTTAAGGTTTGATAGAGGTCTTGAAGCCATAGAGTTTGAGAACCACTGCCCTCAGGGTCAGAGGGAGGGACAAGAGGAAATGATAATCATCTTGCTTAAATCTGAAGTGGATGTTACTCAGCTGGGGTGGGGAAAGGTGTGTTGGGATCAGGGTTAGTTTAAGAGATATGGAGCCATGAAGCCAACCCTATGAAAGCCCGGGGCTGTAAAGGAAAGGGGCAGATGGAGAGGGAGGGCTGAGGAAATGGGAGAGCCAAATCATGAGTGAACTCCCATTCACAATTGCAACAAAGAAAATAAAATACCTAAGAATACAACTTACAAGAGATGTGAAGGACCTCTTCATGGAGAACCACAAACCACTGCTCAAGGAAATAAGAGAGGACACAAACAAATGGAAAAAAAAAGAAAAAGAAAGAAACAATCAGCCCAGTGAGGTGGCTCACACCTGTAATCCCAGCACTTTGGGAGGCCGAGGTGGGCAGATCACAAGGTCAGGAGTTCAAGACCAGCCTGACCAGTATGGTGAAACCCCACCTCTACTAAAAATACGAAAATTAGCTGAGTGTGGTGGCGTGTGTCTGTAGTCCCAGCTACTTGGGAGGCTGAAGCAGGAGAATTACTTGAACCTGGGAGGTGGAGGTTGCAGTGAGCCAAGATCGTGCCACTGCACTCCAGCCTGGGCGACAAAGCAATACTCCATTTCAAAAAAAAAAAAAAAAAAAAAATCAACAGAGTAAACAGACAACCTACAGAATAGGAAAAAATATTTGCAAACTACAAGTCCAGTAAAAAGCTAATATCCAGAGTCTACAAACCTCAAACAGCTCAACAAGAAAAAAAAATAACCCCATTAAAAAGTGGGCAAAAGACATGAATAGACAGTTTTCAAAAGGAGACATACAAGCAGCCAAAAAACATGAAAAAATGCTCATCACCATTCATCAGAGAAATGCAAATCAAAACCAATGAGAAACCATCTCACATGAGCCAGAATGGCTATTATTAAAAAGTCAAAAGACAACAAATGGTGATGAGGATGCCCAGAAAAGAGAATGCTTATACACTGTTCGTGAGAAGGTAAATTAGTACAACTTTTACAGGAAACAGTGTAGAGGTTTATTAGAGAACTAAAAATAGAACTACCATTCGACCCAGCAGTCCCACAACTGGGTATCTACCCAAAGGGAAAGATATCATATCAAGAAGATACCTGCACTGCTTTGTGTATTGCAGCACTATTCACAAATGCAAAGATATGGAATCAAGGTAAGTGTCCATCAACAGAGGATTAGATAAAGGCAATGTGGTATACACACCATGGAATATTATTCAGCCATGAAAATAATAGAATCATGTTTTTTGCAGCAACATGGATGGAACTGGGGCCATGATCCTAAATGAGGTAACTCAGAAACAGAAAGGCAAATACACATATCCTCACTTATAAGTTAGAGCTAAACAGTGGGTACCCACAGACACACAGAGTGGAATAATAGACACTGGAGACTCCAAAAGGTGGGAGAGTGGGAGAGGGTGAGGGCTGAAAAATTACCTACTGGGTACAATGTTCATTATTTGGGTGGAAGTTACCCAAGAAGCCCAGATTTCACTACTATGCAATATATGCAAGTAAGAAATCTGCACTTGTAACCCCTAAATATCTACAAATAAAAAATAAAGTCATTTGGCAATACATTTAAAATTGTGCTGAATCTGAAGGTTGGCAAGGGGAAGATGGTAAAGGTACAAATCTGTCAGACAAGTCACAGGAATAAGGTGGGCTAGTATCTTCTAGCAAGACACTTGGAATCTACTTCATATTATTTTCTTTCCTCAGTAATGAAATGACCAATAAGATGACATTGCAACAGGGCCTCTGTATGAAAGTTATGGGGAAGTAGAATAGAGAATGAACCATTGAGATTGATTTTGGATTTGTTTTAAGAAAATCAGAAGATCATAATAAGATCTTCTGATAAGGTCATTATATGTATATGCGTAATGGTTCATTGTTTTGTGTAACTGACTAACCTTTAAAATGTTTTCTTAAAATAGTATTCTTTACAAAAAAAATTAGCTAGGCATCATGGAGTGCACCTGTAGTCACGGCTACTCGGCAGGCTGAGACAGGAGAATTGCTTGAACCTAAGAGATGTAGGTTGCAGTGCGCAGAGATCACACCACTGCACTCCAGCCCGGGCAACAGAGTGAGACTCTGTCAAAAAAAAAAAAAAAAAAAAAAAAAGAAAGAAAGTAACAAAGAAAAATAGTTTTTTTTTTCAAGCAAATTTCTCATATTTTAAGACCCATTGGTATTCCTCCCTATTTAAAGTTGAAGCATTGTGAAATATATAAGAACTTGCGTGCTGGGTAGTGTTTTGCACAAACCAGGAATTCATTGTGAATCTGTCTTTTCGGACACTTGGGGCACTGTGGAATTATTAATAGATGACTTTTTAAAATTTTACATTAAAAAATGTTTGTAGCCATAGAGAAGTCATATAACTGTCACAAACACAGTCTGTGTCTATATGATGCCAACACAACCATTAAGGGAAGCACAAAATTGGATCAAACCAGTAATTTATTAGTTGTTTTATTCAATTTCTTTCCTTCTCATTTTTATTTTGTTTCATTATTTTCTTACTCCATGAAATAGGTTCACATGTGTAAACGCCGAGTTTATGTTTTAGTAATAGGCTTTTTTCCCCTCCAGAACACTAGTAGCATACTTCCCACCTTAAAACTTTTAATTAAATAATTGAGCTGCCTTTTTTTTGTATTTTGTAGGCAGTGATATAAATATTTAAAACATTTTTTTAATGGACATACATTATGAGTTCGAAAGCCAATTGATTTTTTCTTCCAGAGGGTTTCTAAACTAACAGGATTTCTTCCAAAAATTTGACAAAAAATTGCATGATTTCTGATGTGCAGCAAAAACTAGGTATGTTCACCTTTGCATTTGTGGGTGCCTCCTATGTTTATGAATGGTTTCTTGTCCCATGGAGGTGGGAGGTGAAAAGTTTATACTTGCTCACTAATGAATGCCTGGCAATGCCCAGTGAGGCAATATACATCTCTGCAGACTGAAAAAGCTGCTTTGAAAAACAAAATTTTAATTCATTATCCACTACTGAATATTTTTATGAATCTAAACATTAGAAAAATGGACAGGATTAAATCTTCATCTTCATCTGTCCCAATTAAATCGTACTTTCTTCCACTTATAACAATGCCATAATGCTATTCTAAGTGGTTTGTACTTCTAAGTTATTTACAAATTTGAAATATTGTATTTAAAATGTATGTCTGCTTTTCATCATTAAAATACCCTTCAATCACATCCAGTACTGAATTTGTATAACTGATAATTAAGGAATTTTAAAATGTAATAATAGGCATATTATCTCAAAGGAAGCCTTAATATTTCCAATCTGAAAATATTTATACATGCTGATTTTTTAATGCAAAATAATTTGACTAAGTACAGTTTAAATAGGCTCACCGTTTATTGGTGTGCGACCAAAAAGCTTGTTGGAATTATTGGCTTCTACATAGGCTGTTTTGATGTAAGCTAGAGGCAAACTAAGATGCTTTCCATTCCAGAAACTTTAAATATCTAGGAAATTCTACTGCATCCAAATATAAATGTGAAATTTCCATGAATATGAAAATTTAGTTGACTTGGGTTGTCAATATGACATATAGTTACGCATTTTGACTTTTAAAAAGTTTTTTTTTTCATTCTTTCATTTTTTTTTTTTTAATGAGACTCAAATACACCTTCTGGGACAAATGAATGATTTTTTTGTGAGCAGAACTTAACATAAACTAAGGTCTAATTTAGGGACCCTAACTGTCTGCATTTTAAGTTACTGGAGCAGGGGAATACCTAGAGTGCAGACATTAGGAGTTGTGTTGACAGAAAACTGGCCCAGCTGCCACACTGGTCAAGTCACCCCACGGGTAAAACATCAAGAAAGATGCAAACTCAGTAACTTAGAATAAAGAAACCAAAATAAAAATATCAACTGTATTTGACTCCTGTAACTTATCTGAATGGGTTTGCAATTGGTAAAAACACCTTGATATTGCAAAGTCACTGTGTTAGTAAGGCTATTTTTTTTAAATAATAAAAACATTTAAGTTTATAACTTCAACCCTGGTATATTTCCCTCCCACATAATAGAATATTTAACTGAAATTATTTTTTTAAAGGGAGTCTTCTAATCTGGTTTGCATGTTAAGTACCAACTGAAAATAATAGCAAATGCTCAATAATTTTATAATTATTATGAGAAACTGAGTTATTAGTTGTAAATAGGCATTGACCCATAATTAACCAATTAATTATTTATGGACTTGACTAAAATTAAAGAATAATATGAAGATGCCTCTATATCATGTCATGTATCCTAACACACCATTTTTTGTTGAATGAACTCTTTCCCATTAAAAATGATTAAGATACCTAGATCCTAACCACATATTTAATATCTTTTATAAAAACTAAAACAAAATTGCTGATTCCCAGAGTAAAGAATTTGAATAACAGAGCCTATAGCTATTGATATAACTGTAGAGTGGTTTTAACACATTTTTAAAACTCTTTTTTTAAAGATTGATCTTAAAGCCTTCTCCTTTTTCTCTTTTCTTCCTCCCTTCCTTCCTTCTTTCCTCTCTTCCTCCTTCCATCCCTCCCCTCCCCTCCCCTCCCTTTCCCTCCTCGCCTCTCCCCTCCTCTCCCCTCTTCTCCTCTTCTCTCCCCTCTTCTCCCCTCCTCTGCCTTCCCGTCCCCTTCCCTCTCCTCTTCTCCCTTCCTTTGCTTTCCCTCCCTTCCCTTCTCTTCCTTCCTTCTTTCCTTCCCTTCCCTTCCTCCATTCCTTCCTTCCTTCCCTTCTTTTCTTTTGTGAGATCCTATAGCCTATGACTGGCTTTAGAAATATGTTTGCAGGCTGGTTTTACTAACATCTCAAACACTTTTTAAAATGCTTTTTTTTAAAGAATAAAATCAACTTGTACTACACCAAATAGAATCATCCTGTCGTTATTTTAATTTATCAAAAGCATTTTCAATTAAGAAGCTGTTAACTTAGACTTTAGGAAGACATCTAGGAGTAGTTAAATATTACTAACTTATTTAATTTTATTAAAAAGAAAAATTAAGCTTTGTTGAGTATTAAGATCAGTATTAACATTAATATTTAGTATATATTTTGATCCTCAAATGTTATCGTAGCCTGAACCTGGCTATACATTCCTTTGTATTATCTTTTTATTTGCTCCATCCAATTCTTTGTTTCACAGGTCAAAATGGAAAGACTTTGCAAGAATTATTTTTAAAAAACAGCAGCTACAAATCTGTTGTTATATTCATGATAATGAGAAACACATGGATTGATCCCCCTAAGTACTAAAGTTTCACAATTCAGGGCAAGAAGGTGAGGAAAGACATTTGGGGCCTCATTGCTGAATACATCACTTTTTGCAGACTAAGATGGGTTGCTAAAAATAAAAACATGTAAATTTATCTCTCAATACAATTTTATTACAGATGCCTAATTGTGTTAATTATGTGTTACATGTGTTGTCTCACAAGGTAGCCAGCTATTTACATTTCAAACATGTTTCACATTTCTGTTCATCTCCTTCAGTGGGTGTGTAATTGCTTAACAAGCTGCTTCTATGACATTTAAAACAAAAATATAGCTGTTCCCAACTAGAACTATGTTGCAATTTTAGAAAGCTCAGGAAGTCGGTCCCCTTTCTCCCTCCTTAGTTAAAAAAAAGAGAGAGAGAATGAGAGAGAGAGAGAGAGGGCAGCAGGTAGGCGGATGCAGTTTAAAGCTTTGATCGATAAAAACTGGGATTAGAAAATCCCAGCTTGCGTGTATTGCATCAATAAAGTGAGCATTCTGAACACCCAAACTGAATTTACCATTTGCACCAGGCTGCGCCCAGTGGCTTGAGCCCTCTCCTTGTACCACTTAGGACACTAGTAGAACAGCTGATCATGGGTTCTCCACCTGCACGGGAAAGAGAAGCAGAAGAACCAAAGCTATGCTATCCAGCCCCACCCTAGGCTCATAGCTCATGGCCCAATGCTTCCCTGGAAGATCTAAGGGTTGAGCAAGGGGCCGGGGTGCTCAAGGAAACCCCTCATTATGTTAACCAGAGGTATAGGGAATAAATAATACTAAAGGGCTACTTCAATTATTTTTCTTATGCAGGCTTCATCTTATGAAAGAACTGTTTCTGCCAAAGGAACTTCATCTTTTAAGCAGTAAATATAATTTCCAATTTTAATTTTTCAAGGCATATAAAACTAACTGCCAATTGAGCAAAAACTAACCCATACTAACTCACAGATACTAACTCACAAATGAGTTAGCATTATTAGGTTCGTGCAAAAGTAATCGTGGTTTTGCATCAAGCAAAAGCAAAGAAATTTGGTATATTATTTAGCTTCTGGTAAAATATCATTTACATTTTTGAAATATTTCATCTGGGTCTGAGATACCAATTATTACTTTTGGGGCTCTCCAGGGATTATGGTAGCATGGATTGGAAACCACTGTTCCTCTCTTCATCCACTGAGACACTAAATCATTTTTTGTTCTTTTACTCAAGTAATTAATTACATTAAATATGAATGCAAAACAACAGATCTTCCCATTCTGAAACTTTCTAAATGAAGCTACATCCCAGGTTGATAGGTAGTAATCAACCTTACCAGATGCTAAGTTCTTGTTTCAAGATTCTACGTGTAATAATAGCTATACTAATAATTATTCATAAAGAATCTACTACGTGTAAACCACTATGCTGGGCTTTTTGATTCACTCTGTAATTTATTTCCCCAAGTAACATTCAGACAGCTTAAGTAAATTGCCCATGGACACACAGTTTATAAGTAACAGATACAGGATTTAACTCTAGTCTGTTTATTCCAAACTGTTTGCTATTTTCTTTTTCTTTCTCTTTCTCTCTCTCTTTTTTTTTTTTTTTTTTTTTTTTTTGAGATGGACTTTTGCTCTTGTTGCCCAGGCTGGAGTGCAATGGTGCGATCTCGGCTCACTGCAATCTTCATCTCCTTGGTTCAAGCAATCCTCCTGCCTCAGCCTCCCGAGTAGCTGGGATTACAGGCATGCGCCACCACGCCCGGCTAATTTTGTATTTTTAGTAGAGACGAGGTTTCGCCATGTTGGTCAGGCTGGTCTCGAACTCCTGACCTCAGGTGATCTGCCCCCTTCAGCCTCCCAAAGTGCTGGGATTACAGATGTGAGCAACCACCCTTGGCCATGTTTGCTATTTTCTTTATACTAGTACAAGAAAAAGAAAGCTAAAAGGTATGAACTTTTATGCTCGTATGTTGCATATATCACAAAAGAAAGGAATTTTTGCTATGAAAGATTAAGAAATTTAATTTACTATGTACATAAATTATTTTCCATCTCCGCTTGCCCGTTATTTCTCTTAATTTTTGTTAATACTATATTTTTAGTATGTCTATTAGTAATAACTTTTGGTATTATAAATGTTACTTTTAAACTTATTTTTCTTGATCTATCGATTTTCAGTGGTGCTTTTTGATGCCACTTTAAGCAGTTTTTTATTTGTGCCATGATTTCTTAGACAGATTTCTGGTTTGCCTGGTGTTTTCAATGCCTTTTGTTTTTTTCTTATTGATAAAAGATGTTTATGACTTCGCTATACCACTAAAATCATTCAAATTTCTAAATATAGCATTTTTAAAGTAATTCTTCTTGAAGATATTCTACTTGGATTTAGGTTAATTGACCACTGCCAACCTGAAATTACTATTCTTTGCAACCATGAATTAAATCTACTTTTTCTTGGATACTGTATTTATTCTCCTGGTGAATGTTGTAAGTTTATGTTTTTATTCAGAAAATTTATTTTTAGGAATCTTACTTTTGCACTTTTGAAAGTACTTTTATTTTAATACTTGACAATGTCATGGAATACAAAATTTTAGGTAAAAATTTTTGCTATCAGGACTTTGAAGGCATTTTTCCATCTTCTTTTAACTTGTGGTGTTGCTGATGAGAAATTTCATAACTATCTAATTTATTTCATTGTTCCTAACATATTCTTTCTCTCTACCAGCTTACATCATCTTCCTTATTTCTCTGTGTCCTGTCATTGTTGAAGCGCTTCCCAGTCGGTTTCCTTGTTTACTGTCCTAATTACTCTTTGGACTCTCCTGTTCAGCAAAAGTTCCTTTCCAATATTCCGTACACCCTTTGCTGCAGCCTCTTACATATTTATTCTGTCCTGTGGCTGCTTAAAGTGCCTTATTCTATAGTTCCTCAATCAGAAATTTATCAAAATCTCAAGTTTACTTATGATCGATATCTTCAGCACTGTAGGAAAAATTTTCCTTTTGTAAATATTACTGTTTCAGTAAGAAATTGGAAGGGAAGTAAACAGGCATGGCTGGTCAACCTTCTTGAACTGTCATGAGTAGGATTTTGGTGTCATAAATAAAAGGAGGATAAGTATTATTGGAAATCTTCAACATTGACACCATACAGCAATCCTTCCAGATTCCCCAAATCAGTTAAGTTTCCTATTTGTTCTATTTACAATTTTAAATCTTCTTCAAAATTCCTTGGCCTTCTAACTTACCACCTCCCAAGCAGTCTAGGTCTTGTAAAGAAAGAACATAGAACACATTGAAAGCAATTTTTGAAACTTCTCAATACAAAATCTATACTTTGCTTGAATGCACACTTATTCTTTTCTTCCTTGCATGTGTTACATTTGGAAAAGGATTCTTTCCTCTTCTCTTAGGTAATCATTCCTTAATGCCCAAGATCTCAGCCCCTTCTACTTCCTTATGGCCTAGTTCCACCATCAACCCCATGCTCTGCTCTGTCCACAACTTTTCCTCCACAATTGCCTCCTTCCTATTAAAATTGAATATGCTTGTCCGTCATCTCAGCCCAGCTGCCCTTGATTCTGTATTATCAACAACTGTTCCCCACATTGGTCACCTTCCTTTCATAGTCACGTTCTACAAAGGGCTTTCTATACTCATCTCCATTTTATATTATATATAATACATATTTATTTTATATACCATATAATATATACATACTATATTATATATATACACATACCATATATAAATACATATAATATGTAGGTATGGTAACCTACTATACTTGAAATGTAGCTTGCCTTTTTCACTTAACAATATATTGGAGGCAATATATTTAAAAAGTAGTTTTTAAAAGCTATGATGTATTCCTTTGTATAACTGTGCTATAATTTATCTAGTCAGTTGCATATTATATGCCATTTATTATAGGTTTCTTTCAGTCTCATTATTGAAAACATTAATGCAAAAAAAGTTGGTGTCCATATGTCATTTCATGTTTGTAGGCTTATATATAGAGAGAATAATTTCTGAATAGTTAAATCATGGGTTGAAGGATATGAGAATTCTTAATATTAACCAACATTGACAAATTGCTTGCCATGGAAATTATTCTGGCATTCTTTCCTATAAGTAGTGGAGGAGAGGATCTGGTTCTCACACTCTCATGCTTCAGATGATGACTGCCCTGGTTTTCCTCTTCTTTCCTTTCCTTCTCCTGTTCAGTCTCTTCTGTTGTTCCTGCTTCCTCTTTCATCAACCATTGATGTTTTTCAGTCTCCCTCCAGGACCTTATGTTCTCACTCTACACACTTTCCCTGTGCAATGTCACCTACTGTTTTGGCTTTATTTTCAATCTGTATATTGAAGACTCCCAAGTCTTTATCACCAGCCTGAATACTCTTGGGACCCATATATTAAATATCCTCTGGACTATCTTCCCTAGGATGTCTTTCAGGCATTGAAAACTGAAGAAGTCTGAAATGAAACTCATCTTCCTTCTGAAGCTGTTTTACTCTCAGCTTTCCCTAGCTCTGTTAATAGACCCTGAATAGGGTCTAGACCCTGGAGTATTCCTTCATTCTTACTTTCCTTTATCAGCCCGTTTTCTTCACTCCCTTTCCAAATACCCAATAAGGATCTATGTTCAGCTGGTTCTATTTTACAAACCCTTGTCCAATCAATCTGTTTCTCTACATTCCCTCTGCTACCACCCTCATCAGGCTACCCCTAACTCTTATGAAATGATTTTGATGACCTCCTAACTTATGCTTCTGCCCATAGTGTTCTCCTCCCATCTGGTCTCCAAAACCCTTTACAGAGATTAAAAAAAGAGTCATTTCACATCATTGCATAAAAAAATTTTCTATAACTCCCCAATATCTTTAGGATAAAGTGCTTCTCCTTCCTGACACTACTTCCCCATGAGATATAACCAAGTTGAACCTTATGCCTTCTCTCATTTACATAGTTTATTGTGCATCTATTCTCTGTGCCTGGACCACACTCTTCTCCACCATCCAATCACAGCTGAAATGACGCCTCCTTAGAGAGACATTTGCTGGTTTCTATAAAAATGTTAGGTCTCCCTGAACTTTCTCCGTCATGATCATTCAACATTTTACTATACATACTTGCTTAATGCCTTTATACTTTTTTTAAGAGTACGTTTTGTGATACTGAGGACAGTTTTGGTCTTGTCAACCACTATATTTCCAGTGCTTACTTAGTGCAGTGCCTCACACATAGTGTACACTCAATAAATGATGATTTAAATTTATGATTGAAGAACGATTAATTACATGTGTTGGTAGACATAAGATAGGCAAAAAATAAGACAGGAACACTAGGTTGTTTTCTTAAAAACGTGGATGGAGTCATGTTGATTCACCGATTTTAGTTTTTCTGTGATTCATGCTATGCATTTCTGAGATGTCAGGTTGATGGAGTAGTTGTTTTGTCTCTGACCTTGGAGCAGAATGGGACAGTAGTTTCACTGGTGCTAAAACCCATGACCTTATCCTTATTAGCACATCTCTGTAAGGAGACTAGTGTTAACATGAAGCTATCAATTTTTAACAACTGTAACTTATGTAAAATTTGGTAAACTATATGCAGGAAACCATTCCCATATGGGGGGTTAACAAATGATTTTTGATGAGTACTATTATTATTGCCCAATTTTAATAAACTGCAGGGAAAGTTTCAAGAGTCCCTGATATAACAACTATTTTACTAAGTTAATGTTTTTTCTTCTCTACTCTATGGTGCCTGCCAAAAGTGTGAGTAAAAAATCTGGATTACGAGGCATTTATTGGGTAAACAGCATTTCATTTTTACACAAACGTTGACATTAATTAAGTCTTCCAACATCTGGGATGTAGGTAAGTGTTCTGCTAATTTTGCAGAGGAGGAAATGAAATCACAGCGGACTGGCAGCTTGCCAAGGTCACTGAACAAGTTAGTGTCAGGACTGGGAGTACTACTCAGGAATTTTTGGCTGTGAATCTTCTTTTCAACAAAAGTAACTCATAAGGAAAAAGCATATTGGGAATATATTCCTGTTTTTATGGTTCCTATCAAACCTGGAAGGCCCAGTAATCTTGTGAGAATTTCTTTTTTCAATCTCAATTTTATGAGTGAGTGTACCCTAGTAAGAATCACATATCCATTTACAATGTCATTCACTCATGTGGATCAGAATTTTGAAAAATCTGTTTACTATCCATTGCTTTTTTCTCTTCATCTTATCTCTTTTTTTCTTTAAGAATTTCAGTCCACGAAGCCTAACCCTTTAAAAAATTATTGTGATTATAAAATGAAAGGCATCCTAGCCTAACCAAATAAATGTCACACTTTGTATTTTTAAACACAATTTTATAATATGTGCTGGTTTGTTATATTGTGTAAATCAAAAATATAAGAAAATGCTTACCCATTTTTGAAAGATAAATGCACCACAATTTCTTAAAAATGTATAGTGCAAGACCTAGGCAATGATTCTAGGATAGGTAGAATGATTAGGAGCCTAGACTCTGGTGCTAGGAAGCCTGTTTCAGTTCCACTTCTGCCACTGATATGCCAAGTGACCCCAGGAAAATCTTTTAACCTTTTGGTGCTTCAGTATTCTCATCTGTAAAATAGGAATAATAGCAGCGTTCACCTCATGGGTTATTGCAAGGATTTAGTGAGTTTGTCCATATATGACTTAGAAAGGTGCCTGGCACACAGTTACGGGACACAATTATCAGTTACTAAAATTATTTGAGGTATAATTGTCATACAGATTGAGCATCCCTAATAAAGAAAAATCTGAAACCCAAAATGCTCCAAAATCTGACACTTCTTGAGCACCAACATGACTCCACAGGTGGAACCCTCCGCAGCTGACATCATGTGATAGGTCACGGTCAAAACTGTTTTATGCACAAATTTATTTAAAATATTGTATAAAATTTCCTTCATGCTATCTGTGTAAACTGCATATGAAACATAACTGAATTTTGTGTTTAGATTTGGGTCCCATCCCCAAGATATCTCATTATTCATAGTCATGCACCATATAATGAAGTTTCAGTCAATGATGGACTGCTTATTCGATAGTGGCCCCATAAGATTATAATACCATATTTTCACTGTACTGTTTCTATTTCTAGATACATTTAAATACACAAGTACTTACCATTGTGCTCCAGTTGCCTATAGTATTCAGTATACTCGCATGCTGCACAGGTTTGTAGCCTAAGATGAATGGGTTGTACCATACAGCTTAGTGTGTAGTGGCCTCTACCATCTAGATTTGTGTAAGTTCACTCTATGATGTTTGCAGAAAGACAAAACCACCTAATGACGCATTTCTAAGAATGTATTCATTATTAATTAACACATAACATATATACATACACATACACACATGCACGTGCGCACACACACACACACACATACACACAGTATTAGTTTGCTAACCCGTCTAGGTTTGTGTAAGTAACTGTATGATGTTTTCACAGTGATGAGATCTCCTAATGACGATTTCTTAAAATGTATGCCCGCCATTACATGACACATGACCACATATGCAAATATTCCAGAATCCAAAACCATCGAAATTTGCAATGCTTCTGGTCCCAAGCATATAAGGGATACTCGACCTGTATTCTGTATTTCTGAAACCAGTCTTAGATAAATGTTAAATATGACATAGAACACATTAAGTGCCAAAGGAAAAAAAATGTGTTGTTAGGAGAGAGAGAGGCAGTTTGGCAGAAGGCCAGATTCCCATTTGTAGCTTATTTCTGTAACATTTCCACAAACTTCCCTTGAGTGCAATGAAAAACTGTGTAAAGCGATACTGCTGGCTTTGAATGAACCCACAACACAAGGGAATTCTTACAGTCAGATTGAAGAGGCTGGCTAAGGATGTTCAGCTACTTTTCCCTCACAAGAATGAATACAGGCAAATGTGGCCATATCGTTTTTAGCATATTTTAAAATTGCTCTCAGACATTAGGCAATTTTGCTAAGCATTTGCCAAGGGAACAGCAAGCTTGGCTGTGCTTTACATTTTATGGAGCTTCATGAAAGCTGGTATTTGAGGAGGAGCAGCCTTTATTCTATCTCTTCGGAGATAGAGATAGCTGTCTAATAGCGCCCCTTGATAAGCAAGAAAATATTTGTAGGGTGTATGCTTTAAAGGTGCCACTAGATGTCCAAAAGCAGTATTTAAGGAAGAGAAAGCATACTCTTTGATAGAGTAGTCATCTACAGGCTTAATAGTTGAAAACACAATTCCAAATTTGGGGTTGCTATGAAATTTTAGATAGTGTGTGTATTTTAGACAGTGTGTGTAACTGAGTGTTTTCAGTGTAGATAATCATGTAAAAACTTCTATCATATAGACATAAATGAAAATCATTTGATTTTTAATATCAGGGACAGGTTAGCTATTGGCCCCTCAAGTTTTTACATTTCCATACAAGAGTTGTGCAAAACATGGATTTTAGTGATGTAGAACACAGAGTGCTTGGGAGTGTTCGGTGGGGGGAAAAAGGCATCACTCATCAAACTGAAATGCAGTTGGTGATTGTGACACAGAGCTCTATCTTGATAAATTGTGGTTTCCTAGTTTTACAGAGCCACAAAAAACCTGGAAACCACTTTGCTCTACTCAGCATTCATTTTACGGCTGTACAATTTCCAACAAAATTTCCCCCAGACATGGAAACTTAGGTAATAAATTAGGAACCTCTTGAATTATCCCATGCTATCTTCTCTGGGATTTTGCTTGTCATACTTCACTTTTGAGATGAAAAACCCTACTTGTGAAACTTCTGGTAAGTGGATTTGTGCTTTCAAAGAGCAGTTCAGAAAATACAATAGCTTTTCCAAATATGCCAATAGAAAAAACCTTTTAACAGCTGTATGCAATTTTTAGGAAGGAAGCATTATTTCAGCATTTTAAGCACTACCCAAACCTTTTAGTCACTTTGCAAGTAAAGCTTAACTAAATGCAGTGGGATATAAGAGGATAATTAGAGTACATCTTATCTCTTCATGTAGTCAAATATAAGAAGATCGTCACTGGATATTATTTTGTCAGCCATTAGATTCTGTGCAGCCTAAAACATAAAACTCCTTTAAGACTTTTTTGCTAATTTAATTCAGTTCTTTTTTTCAATAATCATGTCTAATTAGTTAAATATGCATAGGAAATCCAAACTTTAGTTGAAAATCTGACCCTATTTAGAGTTAACTCCATTCTCTTAGGAATGCAGAATTTAAGCTGGGTCTCAAGAGCCATCTTTCTTGAAATTCATACAATAATTTTGGTGGTCCTTGGAGCAGCAAGAGTTTCTTGGAAATTCAGGATCTTGGGCCCCACTCTGGATTTCCTGAATCAGAATCTCTGTTACAACAAGACCCCCACTGAAGTTTAAGACCTGCTTTAAGTGTCCAGCACCTAGAAGAGTGACTGGCTCATAATAGGTGCTCAATAAATGTGTTGGTTGGCTGGCTGACTACATAAATAAATGATTTCATGGGAAACTGGCCAACAGCAACATGCTTCAATGAAAAATTTTAATCAGTGCATAAAACTTGGTATTCTAACCTGAGGTCACTTAAGTAGGTGCAATGTTAATTCCTAATCAAAAGGACAGGTATTTAAAGCCATCTCATCATGAACGCAGCAAGATTTCTTTCAGAGTCTGAGACAAGAATCATTTTCTAATGATTCCAGGAGGAAGGAAAGAACTCTAGCTTGACTTTAAGAGGTATCTCTAAGAACAATGTTTAGAATTTTAATCATTATGATTGTAAAATTGAACATTGGCACTCTTTCAGTGTGGCTTTTTCTGCCATGGGTGGTGATAAATTCTTACATAGATGATTTCATGATAATCAGTGCAGTAAATGAACATTATGATGTTGTATTGGCCTGTAATTTGAAATAAGTCTCCTAGATATCCTTTAGTAAGGCACATGCTTTGAGCAGCTTTTCCTATGGGGACAACCTGTGTGCACCAACCCAAGCCTCCTCTTCCAACCACCCTCTCTTTGACACATAGTCAAACTGGGGTACAGTCTGGGTGTGGGGCAGAACGCAAGCCCACTGAGCCCTATGGGAGTCAGACCCATGACCCAGCCCTCAGTGACATAGGACTCCAGCTAGCCTCACACTCTGGCTACACTGTATACCAAATGAAAAGTTATTCTCCGGGGCATGGTAAAGGGACATGGGTGGTGTGTGACATGGAGGATATGAAACAGTACACACCACTAAACACTCTTGTGAAGAACCATTGTCCTCAAAGACAGTAGAATCAATCAGTGATTCTCAAGAAGACGTAATAAATCACCAGGCTGCCCCATATGGCATGACAAAATGCTTGTGATTAAGAACATTTATTGATTGTATAACAACTAAGATGACTCTGATAAAATTTGCTTTTGTATGACAAATATTTTTTCCAATTTTTTTCTTTTCATAATAGTCATTTAATCCTATAGTAATTTCTTTGCTTAAAAATATAGGTTGTTGTGAGACTCATATAAAATAATTATATTATTGTGCTATGCCCTTTCTGAAGCTGGATAGCCATAAGTTGTTAACATTTACAGAAGACAAAGTAAAGATATCTCTTCTGGGGCCAGGCATGGTGGCTCACACCTGTAATCCCAGCACTTTGGGAGGCCGAGGCGGGTGGATCACCTGAGGTCAGGAGTTCGAGACCAGCATGACCAACATTGAGAAACCCCATCTCTATTACAAATACAAAAATTAGCCAAGCGTGGTGGTGGGCACCTTTAATCTCAACTACTTGAGAGGCTGTCACAGGAGAATCGCTTGGACCCGGGAGGCAGAGGTTGTAGTGAGCCAAGATCACGCCATTGCACTCCAGCTTGGGCAACAAAAGCAAAACTCCATCTCAAAAAAAAAATTATCTTTTCTGGATGTTAAACAAAATAAAAATAAGACAAAACACATAACATATAGCCTAGATGCCCCAATGCATAGCTTTTAAGTAAAATGAAGTGTTTTGCATTTCTCTAGTGATCAGTGATGTTGAACATTTTTTCATGTGTTTATTGGCCGCATGTATGTCTGATTTTGAAAAGTATCTGTTCATGTTCTTTGACCTTTTTTTTAGTGGGGTTGCTTCGTTTTTTATTAGAAATTTGTTTAAGTTCCTTATAGATTCCAAATATTAGACCTTTGTTGGATCTGTAGTTTCCAAATATTTTCTCCCATTTGTAGCTTGTCTGTTTACTCTGTTGATAGTATCTTTCGCTGTGCAGAAGCTCTTTAGTTTAATTAGGTCCCATATGTCAATTTTGTTTTTGTTGCACTTGCTTTTGGTATCTTTGTCATAAAATCTTTGCCAGGGTTCTATGTCCAGAATGGTATCTTCTAAGCTATCTTCCACAGTTTTTATAATTTTAGGTTTCACATTTAAGTCTTTAATCCATCTTGAGTTGACTTTTGTGTATGGTATAAAGAAAACATCCAGTTTCAATCTTCCACATATGCCTAGTCAGTTATCTTAGTACCATTTGTTGAATAGGGAGTGTGAGATACCATCTCACACCAGTCAGAATGGCTATTATTAAAAAGTCAAAAGACCACAGATGCTGGTGAGGTTGTGGAGAAAAGGAAATACTTATACACACTGCTGGTGGGAATATGAATTAGTTCAGCCATTGTGGAAAGCAGTGTGGTGATTCCTCAAAGAACTTAAAATGGAATTACTATTTGACTCAGCAATCCCATCATTGGGTATATACCCAAAGGAATATCAATAATTATACCATAAAGACACATGCATGTGTATTTTCATTGCAGCACTATTCACAATAGCAAGGACATGGAATTAGCCTAAATGCCCATTAAGGGTAGACTGGATAAAGAAAATGTGGAAGAGATACACCATGGAATAAATACTATGCAGCCATGAAAAAGAATGAGATCATGTCCTTTGCAGCAACATGGGTGGAGCTGGAGGCTGTTATCCTAACCAAAAGAATGCAGGAACATAAAACCAGACACCGCATGTTCTTACTTATAAATGGGAGCTGAACAATGAAAATGCATGGACCCAAAGAAGGAAACAATATATACTGGGGCCTACTTGAGTGTGAAGAATGGGAGGAAGAAGAGGATCAGAAAAAAATACCTATCAGGTACTATACTTATTACCTGGGTGACAAAATTATCTGCTCACCAAATGCCTGTGACACACAGTTTACCTATATAATAAACTTGGACATATAACCCTGAACCTCAAAATTTAAAAAAATGAAGTGTTAAAAGAAAATTTTTTTATAAATTAAATTTAGCGTGTTTATTTGAGCAAAGAATGATTCATGAATTGGACAGTAATCAGAACTAGGAAAGGTACTGGGAGCTCCACCCAGCAACATGGGGGCAGGGGCAGTATTAATAGAAAAGAAATGTTCTACAGAAACAGCATGGTTGGTTACAGCTTGGAATTTGCCTTACTTAGGGATGGTGTGGTAAAGCATTTACCCTATATTGACATGGTCTGATCAGCTGACAATCTGTGATCTGTGATTGGCCAAGACTCACCTGTTTGTTACAGGAATCAACTCTTCAGTTAGGCTGAAGTTTGTTTACACACTGAGTTAGGTTGTAGTTTGCCATGGGAGGACTCAAAGTGGGAAGGCAGATTTAGGCCAAATTTAATTTAACAGAAGTATTTAGCTTTGAATTTGATTCCCAAAATAAGATGATTGACTCTTTATCATATCATTACCACCATTACTTTTATTTTGTATACTTTGAAACGTTTTCAAATATTTTTGCATTTAAAACCTTTTTCATCTCCGTAACATCCCCTGATAGGACAGTCATTGTCCAATTTCACTAATGTAGAAAGTAAGACTCAGAAGTTTCATAATGATGAGGTAAATATAGAATTCTATTTCCTTAACCATAGTGCTACTCATGTCTTTAAAGTATTTTTTATGCTTGCAGGGTGTTTACTTAAAAATAAATATAATACTAAAATTTATTTTTAGTTCCAGACTAAGTATCATAAAAATGATATAAATAAATTATCAATCACTACAAAATGTAGTTTATCAATGGAACATCTATTTGCAATATTCATACCCATGACTGGTAACTATTAGATATATTTAGGAAATTATTCATTTTGGATAATGAGAAATTGAGGATTGAGGGCATATCTTTTCATTAATTAATGTCCATGTGCAAAACTTTTTTACACCCTGTTAGTGGTATACATTTTTGGCTCCATCTTTCTCCCACACCAGGTATTCCCCCAGCTCCGTAGCCAAGCTTCTGGAAAACAACGGGCCTTAGCAGCTGCTATGGTTTGAATGCATCCCCTCCAAAATTCAGATGTTAAAACTTAATGGCCAATGGGATAACATTAAGAGGGGAGGTCTTCAAGAGGTGTGTAGGCCATGAGGACCCTCTCTCATGAATAGGGTTAAAACCCTTACAAAAGAAGCTTCATACAGCATTCAGCCTTCTTGCCCTCCTGCCTTCTGCATGTGAGAAGACAGTGTTCCTCCCCTCTGGAAGATGCAACAAGGCACCATCTTAGAAACAGAGATGAGCCTTCACCAGACACCAAACCTGGCAGTGTCTTGATATTGGACTTCCCAGCCTCCAGAACTGTGAGAAATAAATTTCTGTTATTTATAAATGGCTTATTCTTGAGTATTTTGTTATAGCACAGATGGACTAAGATAGAGGCAATCACTGCATTTACTCAGCATTGTCATGTGCCAGCCTTTGCTCAGCTCTTTTGATACATCATTTCAGTTAATGCTCACAACATCTCCATAGAGAAGGCATGAAGATTTTTTTCATTTTTATAGAAGATAAAACTAAAGCTTAGCAAGGAAAGTGGCATGTGCAAAGCTTCTTGGCTGTTAGATGTCAGACTGAGGTCAATGCTTGAACCTAGTCTTTCTGATGTCAAAGCTTCTGTCTCATTCTCTTTATATTGCTGTTTTCCTACAGTAGATCCACAAAGAGATGAAACTTAAAAACACACCTCACAGTTTCAGACATGAGGAGGTTTTAGGTTCATTTATATCCATTCTGAATTGGGGAGAAAATAATATACTTGGTGAATATTTTCCAGGTCCAAAGCCAAATGCATTCATTTTAGAATAGAATCATCAATGGAAGTTGTCCACATAGCATTTGTTGGGGACCTGTTGTACTATCGGCTTGGGCTAGGTATATAAAAAGCTACAAAAAAGAATAAGACAGCCCCTGGCTTATTGTCTAAGAGAGGAGACACATATGTTAATGAATAAAGCAATAAATATTATGATTTTAAATAAGAAAACAAAGGGCTGTAGAAAGAGGAGAAGTGATTAACTTTGCTTGGGGCATCCTGGGATACTTTAGAGGAAAGATGAAACTTTAACTGTGTATTTAAGGATAAAGAGGAATTTCCAGGGCAGATAAATAAAGTGGGGTTAGGTTGACAGATTGGCATGCACACAATCTGATGTTCTCAAAAGATGGTGAATAGAGAAGACTGGAGTAGCTTAACCCCAGAAGGATTGAGCTTCATTCCACCTTTACAGACAATTCACAGACAATTTATCTAAACAGTCTAGGTATGGTTAATTTGTAAAAAAGGAAAAGTACATTTTGATTTGGGGGATGGACTTGTTGGGAAAGAAGGATCAGTACATGGATAGGGGATGGGAACGATGAAGGTCCTTGACTAACGATGGGGCTATTGGGCAGAAACTCTTGGCCTTTGAAAATCACCCAGGGAGATGGCAGTAGCTGGTGCCAATTCCTGAGATGTAATAACAGGATTAATCTGATTCTTGTAGATATTCTCTCTTACTTTTAATGTATGGATGATTTCCTCTGTTTGAGTACATTTCATATTTGAGCCTCACACCTGTCCCATTAAAGATCTCTAAAGAGGGGGGTGTCTTAGTTCATTTTATGCTGCTATGACAAAACACCATAGACTGGGTAATTTATAGAGAGCAGAAATTTATTCTTTCAAAATTCTGGGAACTGGGAAGTCCAAAATTAAGGCACAGGCAGGTTAGGGCCTTAGGGCCTGGTCTGTCTGCTTTCCAGATAGAGACTTGAATCATGCATTCTCTGGAGAGGAGGAATATTTTATCCTCACATGGCAGGAGAGCAGGAGAAAATCCCCACTCTTGCAAGTCCTTTTCATAGCAGCATTAATCCATTCACAAGAGAAGAGCCCTCATGACATAAACACCTTCCATTAGGTCTCAGCTCCCAGTGCTGTCGCCTTAAGAATTAAGTTTGGAGATTAACAAGTTTTGGAGGGGACAAAAACATCCAAACCATAGAAAGGAGGAAAAGTTCAGGGGACCTGAGAAAGGTAAGCTTTTGCTCAATTCCTTTCCTCCATATGACTTCATAAGACTTGATTTATTAATGTAAATTAATATTAATTATAGTTATAATAATAATGGTACCAATATCTGTCGGATGCTGGAGACATCTGGGCTAAACTCTCTATTGAATCATTTCATAAGATTCTCTTAGCAACCCCATAACATGGTGCTGCATTTACCTCCTGTTTCCTGTGAAATTGAGTCATAGAGAGGTTAAGAAACATGTTCAAATTATGCAGTTTGTCAGGAACAGAGCTGAGATTTGCGCTCAAGCCTGATGGAGAGTTCTTTACGTAGTTGACCTCTCCCATTTATCTCCAATTATCCTGCAGCACAGTAACAATTATTCAATATCATTAACTAAAACATTAAACTTCTCTATTAATTTTTTGATGATACTGAACTTGTTTCACATAGTCATCACTTTCACAGGTTTTTGCTCACTTAGTAAATCGAATTTAAATCATGGTTGAGCAGATAGAATTTTAATCAATCGAAAGGAACTTTGGCTACAAGTGGACAATTTATGACTGTTACTCTGTAGTTCACAAGCTGGAAGCTGCCCTGTACTCATTCAAAAGCGCTTTCAATATTTGAAAAGTTATATATAAAAATGCCACGATTTTTAACTCTTTGGGGTTTTCTAATCATGGGTGAAAATAGCAAAGGAGAATCTTGATAGAACAATGTGTTTCAGAGTCAGGATAGGACACTTTGGAGAACAGAGTGAACCTTGTGGACAGTTAGTTCTCCCACAAAATCTTTGACATTTGCTGGATAGAATACAGAATAATAGTACAAAGTTCTGAAATATCCATCACTAGGTTTCTGGAAAAAAATTAGGATAAAATAATATTTTAATGAATTTTGAGTAATTCCCAGAAGATGAAAATCAGATATTGACTATTTTAATGACTTTCATATTTGTATTGTTTTAAAAATTATTTTTCCATTGTATGAACTTTCTTATGTACCCCTGATATTCTCCCACAGTGATTTGATTAAAATGTAGTAGAATATATCATGCAACGTATTTTGGTGTGAAACAAACACTGGATCAAAGTTTTCATAGTTTTCTTTATTTTTACTTGCATTTTGTTGTTTTGATTTTTTTAAAAAACCCCACAATAGCAAACAAAAAATGTCATGTGAGCCTGAATTTTATGAACGCTTAAGGAAAAATTTTCAGAAAAGAATATCTTCTCCATTAACTCCATGAGCATAGCTCCCAGATTATAAGGACTTTAAAGATCAATTTCTCCAATAGCCATAGAGAAAATTTTCTCTTTTCCTGTGCAGGGTCACTTGAACTGTAAACACTAGTGGAGTATTTATTTGGAAAATAGCCTCATGAGGTTCTGAACTGATCTGAGAGAAAAAGAACGCTTCAGGACAGCCTCTATGATAATATGTTTCAATATTAAAACCAAACTTAAGTGGTCTGTTTATATGAACTAAAAAAGCTATATGCCAATTTAAAAAATGAATTTTGGGTTATATCTTGCCACAGGTTCTAAGACAATGGTCTTGGAGAGTAGCTCCATTTTCTGTATTCACTGTGGCTTGTAGATAACTCAGTTATCTGAGCTGATGGTTACATAGTTCTGAATTGAATGTCCAGTTATTATAGAAATGTATCTTGGAAGTTTATTTATCTCTGAATCTTTTTTATCCTATACTTCAATGGATTTTTTTTGGAAACCTGCTTTAAATATTACTAACATCAAAATATCTTGTCTTGGAGTAAACATTGCTTTTGAAACAAGAGGATCATGAATTTGATTCCTAATTGTGCCTCCTTAGTGAAAGATGTGGGCGTGCTTTAATGCAAAGAATGTACCTAATATCTGTTTTGATGGGCCAAATAGAATCCTTTATATTTTAACAAAAGGACATTCAAAAGCTAAGTTAATCTAGGGTTTGTTCTACAGTCCTAAATCCACAAAGTCTGCTGGTTCTGAACATCATAAGTAAATAAAAGACTGAAGACATTCTAACACTTAAACAGTCTTAAGCCAAGAAAAATAACACAAGTAGAAAGGAGCCAAATGCAAACATAATTATGTATCCAGTGTCCTCTGTGTTTTGGGTTTGGAATGAAACTGCTGCACAATCCACTAAAAGAATCTCATAGATCCAAGTCCGTCTACGCCTCCATTTACTGTTTCTAGTTTATGACAGCCTTCCATTTTCAGCTCAACTGGTAGAGAGGAGTGAGTTTCCTAACAACTTAATTTCTAGGCTATCTTTATCATCTACCAATAAGAAACTGAGAGCAGTGTCAATAATTTCTTCACCTATCTGCAATTTTATTCATGTTCTTTAAAAATAGCACTGCTGCATTTTAAAAATCTCAGCAGGAGTGGGAACTCACACATTATCTATTATCTATCTATCTATCTATCTATCTATCTATCTATCTATCTGCCTATCTATCTCTCTAGTCTATCACCTATTTGTTCATCTCACATCTAGGTGGCTGAGATAATATTTGAAATCTATAATTAATAAGTAATAAAAGAGAAACGCATTATTGTACTCAATTTATATAAAGAAATATGTTTACATTGATGGACATAGGTAATCAATTTATAAATACATATTTCTTATTTGGAATTCATCTTCATTAACTGCAACACCAAAATACCTGGACTAAGTACTTCATTGTGCTCTCTGGAGAGGTAACTAAATTAACATAATAATATTGCTAGATATTAAATCAGTTCAAGTTCAGACAAAGAATATGAGTTAAACATGGAATATTGATTGGCATGTGTTTATCTCCTCTTTCTCCTAAAACACAAATAAAAATAACAGTAAAGGAATTTTTCCAAAAAGCATACTAACTCATAAAGGTAATGGGAAGATTGCAGCAGGCAAAACATTTATGCTAATTTTGGAAAGACAGAGTTTGGGAGTGATGTGTGACTTAGGAAAGCAGGAGAAATTATACAAATTATAACTTGAGAGGCTGTGGAGTTCACAATACCAATGAAGTTGTGTCAATTTGCTCCATAGAAACTATAAAGGGTCATCATTCAAAGGCACTGGCCCCAGAGGAGGCAGCTGTAAACAAAACATGGATTGAAATCCATTTTCAAGTAGGCAGTTTTTCCCATCCTGCTGAGGCAGGGATTGGCCCTGGCCCTGACATCTGTCACAGACCACAGTCTTCTTTTCTGCAGAAGCCAAGCTAAAGAGGCTCCAGCCTTGGTGAAGCGAGATACAAGGGAAGGTAGAGATTCTGTGTGGGGCTAAAAATAGAAAAGAGTGAGTAAGAGGAACTTCCTTTTCTCTCCTGGACTTACAATTCTTACCTCCACAGACAGAAACCTGGGGAATTCTACTGTGGAGAAACTGGTTAAACAAGAAAACAACAAATATGTAATACCTCATCATAGATATTTGGGGTGCCCTTCAGGAAAAGACCAGGGCTTTTTTGCCCTATAAAAAGGCTTGATTGCCCTAAAATAACCCCATCCAACAACTCCTGTTCTCATACACGGGACTTCTAACCTGCTCTTACTGTCCCCTTCTAAGATATGAGATGACCACACAGATCACCAGACATGTAAGTTGTAAAACTCAAACAAATTAAGAAATGAAAGGAAGGAAAAAGGAAGGAAGGAAGGAAGGAAGGAAGGAAAGAGAAGGAAGGGGAGGGGAGGAAGGAAAGAGGAAAGAAAGGAGGGAAAGAAGAAAGGAAGGAAGGAAACAGGTTACCGAGGGAGCAGAAAACAAACTATGGCTGTACCATAGAGTAATTCTATTTTAATTTTTTTGAAGAACTGCTATACTATTTTTCATAGTGGTCGCTCCATTTTACATTCCCATCAAGAGTATACAGGGGTTCTAGTTTCTGCACATTCTAAACAGCACATTTTTTTTTAAATAGCCATCCTAACAGGTGTGAGGTGATATTGCCATTTCGTTTTACATTTTCCCAATGATTAGTGATGTGCACCTTTTCATATATCTGTTGACCATTTGTATGTCTTTGAACATGACAATAAAAAAGAAAAAAATGAAAACATTCTAAAAAAGATGTCCTTAAAACACAAGAAACATTAATAATATTTCAGAAGCAAGAACTTTAAAGAGTAAGATTAAAAGATAAAGTTGATAATACCCCCCAGTGAATAAGAACAAATAAAAAGAAAGTAAACAGTTTAGAAAAAGTAAAGTTAGAAATTGACAAAGGGGTCCAGAATTCAATTAATAGACATTTCAGAAAGAGAAAACAGGGAAAAAAAATAGAAAGAAATTATCAGTGAATGACTGAAAACAATTCCCAGAATCGAATGCCATCCATCTCCTCCTGACTGAAAAACACCAGGTACTGGCACTGCAAATGTAAAAATGCCCACAGCAAGGAGCCTTATTGTAAGACAAAAATCCTAGACAGTATTTTGGGAAAAAATAATTCACACACAAAAGAAAGAGAATCAAAATGGTATTCAACTTTTTTCCTGTAACTGCAAAAGCTAGAAAACAAAGAACTAATGACTTCAAAATTCTGGGAAAAAAATTATTTCCAATCTACAGCTCTTTTTTCAGAAAAAAGTTAATCAGAGATGAGGAGAGATTAAACACATATTTTCAGCATGCAAAAACTTAAACCAAGAACGTATATTTCTTATCCTTTCTTGGGAAGCTGCTGGAAGGACATGTTTAAGGAAAGTGATATTTATAAAGAAAATTATAGCTTTATATTCCTATATTAAAAAAGAAAAATAAATAGTCTAAATTTTTTCCTTAAGTAGCTAGAAGAGCAAACTTAACCAAAATAGTTGATGCAAGGATGTAATAAGGATAGAAACAATAATTAATTAAAACAAAAAAACCAAATTACAAAAAAATCATTGAAGCAAAAATCCTCACAAAATACCAATCAGAATGAAAGTGAGTATATTCCTGAAAATCTTTTATATATTAAAAAGAAAAAAAGTAATACTAAAATAAATTTCTTGCTAATAATTGCAAAAATATAAATGAAATAGAAAAAGACATATAAAACAACTCATAAAAATTAATAAGATGAATTAGGAATCCAAATAATCCTATATTTAATAAAGAATTAAATTTATTATTATAAAAAATCCTCCCATACAGAACACTCCAAGCCCATATGGTTGCATTTATACAATCTCTTTTAGAAAAAAAAAGGGGGGGTTATAGAATCACTTCACATTTTGTTTTATGAGGCTAGCATAATTATATCGGTTTTCTACTGCTGTTTAATGAACAGCCACAAAAACCGGTGGTTTAAAACACAAAAATTTATTATTTGTAGGGTTCTATGTGGTTGGCTGGTCTCAGCTCTGTGGTACATTGCTCCTTGCTGTGTCAGCTGGTGTCACTCATATTGCTGTATTCAGATATTAGATGAGCAGGGCTGGAGGACTTTAGTCTACCCACATGCCTGGGGCACTGGGAGAGATCATTAGAAGACTGTGCTATTTCTCTCTCTATGTGTTCCCTTATCATTGAATTGCTCACATTGGGTCCTACCAGACCTAAAGTGGAAGCTGTCAGCCCTGTAACATGTGGACAGAGAACTGCCAAGTGTTACCACATTCTACTGGTCGCAGCAAGTTACAAGACTAACCCAGACTGAAGAGGAAAGGAAAGAGACTGAAACTCTTGGTGGTTGTGGTGGTGACATTTATGTACAGGATAGGGATTTTGGTAGAGATGCTCACATAATTTACCATGACAAACTTGATATCAAAACCTGACAAAGCTACTACAAGAAAAAAATAAAAAAAAACCTCTCATGAACATAGAAGCAAAAGTCCTTTAGAAAATGTTAGCAAATTAAATCCAAAAATATACAAAAATAGAAGCACCATGATCTTATGGAGTATAGGCAAGAAATGCAAATTTGGTTTAACAGTTTAAAATCAATGAATTTAATTCATATTATTAATAGACAAAAGAAGAAAATAATTTCGATAGATGCAGAAAAAGCATTTGACCAAAAAAAATTATTAATTTTTTTAATTAGAAAACTAGGAATAGAAGGGAACTTCTTCAATACTATCAGCTAAAGGAAACATCTATAATTAACATCAAACTAAATGATCAAGGTCTGAACATTTTCCCACTAAGACTGGGAATAGGCACTAAGTATTGAAATGGAGGTCCTGGTCAGTGCAATGAAGCAAAGAATAAAATCAAATAATGCAGATTGGAAGGGAAGAAGCAACACTCTCTCTGTTCTCAAGAGATCTGATTGTTTGCATAGGAAATTGTAAGGGATCTACAAAGCAATTACTAAATTAGTAAGTAAATTTAGCCAATGGCAAGGTAACATGTTGACAAACAAAAATCAATTGTATTTTTAAAACTTGAATCCCATAATTAGATTTTTAAATTCCATTTCTAATACTCTTAGAAAGCATAAAATACTAAGAAATAAATCTAGCAAGAACAGAGCAAGACCTCTAAAATAAATATAAAACCTGATTCGAGAAAATAAAGAATACTAAATAAAAAAACCACGTTCATGAATAAGAAAATTCAATATTGTTAATATATCAATTCTCCCCAAATTTATAGATTCACTGATTCAGTAACAATCGCGATCCTAGAATTTCTTTTATAAAAATTGATGAGGTGATTTAAAAATTTATACAGAAAACAAGGGACTTAGAATAGCTAAAAGAGTCTTAAAAATTAAAACAACTTTGAAAGATACAAAATACATGACTTTAAGATTTACTATAAAGCTACAGTAATCAAGGCAGTGTGGTACTGGGGTAAGGATGATCAAGAATTCAAATGGAACAGAACATGTAGTCCATAAGTAGACTTACAAGCATAGGTTAATTGATTTTCAGCAAAGCCATCAAGGCATTTCTATAATGAAAGTTCTTTCAACAAACGGTGCTAGAACAACTAGATATACATTTGGGGAAGAAAATGAGCTAAAAGTTTACCTCTACTACAAACATAATTCACTCAACCTAGATTATAGACCAAAGTATAAAAACTGAAGTTATAAAGCCTCTGGAAGAAAATATAAAATAATATCTTCATGACTATAATGTTGGCAAATATTGTGAAGGGCACAGAAAGAAGTAGTCAACAAAAGAAGAAAAAAATGAGAAATTAAACTACATAAAGTTACAGACTTCTGCTCCTCAGAAGAAATCATGAAGAAAAAGAACATTATTAAATAGAAGAATAAAATATTCTTAAAACATCTGACCAAAATCTTTCATGAACAGAATAGATTTTCAAAACTTTGATAACTCATCAGAAAGGTAAACAACAAAACATGAGAATAGATTGGAACAGTTATTTCACAAAAGAAATAATATTTAATAAGCACATGAAAAAGTCCTCAGCAGCATTAATAATTAAGGGACTCCAAATTAGAACCACAATAAGATACTACTACACATCCACTAGAATGATTGAGATTAAAATGAAACAAAAGAAGACTGACAATATCAAATGTGGGGAAGGACACATTGCTTGTGATTGTGTAAAATGTCACAACTACTAAGGAAAATCATTTTTCAGTTTTTCATAGAGGTAAGCATATACCTATTCTGTGACCCAGCAAATTCCTCTGGTAGATATTAATCCTAGGGAAATGAAAATGTATGAAAGGACATCATAAAGAATACTGATAACATCATTACACATAGTAGTCCTGAATTGAAAATATCCCTTATGTCTGTTAACAGGAAAATGAAATTGCTGTATCTAATGGAATATTATGCTCTAATAATAGGAGAAGAAATACTGATATATCGAATAACCCAAACAAGTCTGGAAGACACATGCTAAGACAAAGAAGCTGATGTAAAAGACTACAAGCTGTATTATTGTATTTATGTACAGCTTTAGGAGAGGCAAAATTAATCATGATGCAATAAATCTGAACAGTCATTTGCTGGGGGAGCCTGTAGGTTGCAAATAGCTGGGAGGGGCATGAGGGAACTTTCTGGGTGATGGGAACATTCTGTATCATAATAAGGGTGTGTGCTACTTGGGTTTTCCAAGAATGGCCACAGAAATATTTCCAATCCCATATGTTCTTTTGGCACATTGCTACCAAGATCCAAGTTTATTGTTATCAATAACCAAGCCTGAGAAATTTACTTTCATTAAATCTGGATGGGCTTGTGGCTTTCAAGGCCAGGTCATAAAAAAGATAAAGAGTGTTGGTGGGCTGTCCCTTTCTTGAGAAGCTTGGAATTCAGGCACTATACTGCCAGGAAACCACTGTGCACAGATTTCAACAAGCAGCATTGACTGCCAGACAGGTGAGTAAGCAAACCTAGAGATGAGTGTAGACTCTCACTTCGACCCCACCAGGTAAGGCCTCAGACATAAGACATCAGAGTTAGGCCACACACACTGGGTCCTGCCTTAATGCCTTACTCTCAGAATCTATGAGGATAAGAAATGCCTATTTCATATTATTGTGTTTTGGGGTGATTTGTTACACAACCATGGTAACTCCATCATACTACGTAATCAATTATGTATTTTTCTTTATGCATTTAAAAAATTGTCTCTTAACTATGCCAAGTTATATATTTGAATTATTCATAGCTTGGCATCTTCTGGCATATTTTTGCATTCTGAATGTAAGTCAATCTTTGTGCAAATGAAGCAGCATTGTCTATATTTTGTTTTATTCTGTTCCATGCAGAACCATAAAGATAAAACAATCTAATTTTTTAAAACAAGAAGATAATTTGTCAATTTTCTGACTTTTTGACTTAGGTGGCAAATAATTATGGATTTACTCTTCATAAACTTGATCATATTACAAACCTGCCTTTTAATGACAGTATTGTGAGGTCACCTGGACACACTAATTTTAAATATAGCAAACGGTAAGATGAAATGATTTATTTACATGATGTAGTTTGGGAAAATGAGACCATGGCAGGTTATGAATTAGACATTAACTCTAATAGTATAATTGTATCAAACCAATGGAATTTCTCTGAGTGAAGACATGATGGAGGAGTGGCACTTTATAAAGTCTGAAAACTGTTCAGATTTACAACCTGGTGCAGGGTGATAAAGACAGACCAAATTTACTGATGTGTATGTCTTGTTTCCCATGTGAAAAGAAGCAGTGAACCGGTATTTGCTGAACTCTAGCTTCTAAATAAAATCAGATGGGTGCTTTACATTTAAATGTTTTTCATTCTATTTTTTTTACCAAAAATATGAAAAATAAAGTATGAACTTTTAATATTATACAAAGTTATTTTCCCTAAAGTGATTTAACCAGCCTGGGCAATAGAGTGAGACCCCATGTCTATATATAAGTAAATCAACAAATAACTAATAAATAAAGTTATTTACATACCTATAAAGAGAACAGTAGATTTTGAAACTTTAACAATAGAATCAGATTTTGAGGTTTTCCCATGTTAATATTGAGTCACCAAAACATGAAGTAGAAAATTCGATGAAATTGATAGATTCTGCAGATAATCTTGGCAGCAGTCAGGCTACCTATAGGTTTGCTTATATTCTAGATTAGAAAAACAGAGAGCAAATGTGTGCTCTGCTCACCAATTGATAGATGAGTTTGATTCTGGAGGCCCTGGATCAAGCAACACTTGACTTCACATGCGATTCTGGTATAGCCAACCCTGCTGACACAGCAAACAGAAAGAAAAGAGGGAAATTCAGGCTTCCCTCAGGCCACAAAAAAAATGTTCCAGCAGAAATTAGAAAATGCAGTCTGACATTAGGATATGTGAAGAATACAGCCAGCCTCAGGTCACAGAAAGGAAATCCTATTTCACCAGGAATCCAAGTATGTTAGAACAGGCAACTTACTCTTTTTCATTATAAAACAAGAAGAACTAAAACAAAAGCAACAATGAAGAGTTTCCCACAGGAGAGTTGATGTGTGCTGCATTTTCCTTTTCAGCTTCGTCACTCTTTGGTTTTTCGTTTCCCCTCCCAAGGCTACCTTTACAAAGGTTTTAAGGTCTGTTCCAGGGACGTACACTACAGCATGTGCCATTATTCAGAATGCTCACCAAAGTATAGTTTACTTTGAGTACATCATTCCTGGGGGTTCCTTCTCCTAGTAAATAATTTCCTGGTGAAAATAAGTGAAAAATATCGACATTGACTTTGCATCCACAGTACTTCTGCCAGGCAATTCTCTAACATTTTTATATTTGTATGTATAATCCAACCTACATAAAAACTTATACAGTTGAGGAGCCTATGTCAGAGAAGTTGAAGCAACAGAGAGAGTGGCAAAGCAGGACTCACATGCTGCTTGCCTTCTTCCCACCCGCACTCTGCAGTGGAGCTCAGTGACTGCCAGCCTCAGCTGTCAGTGCCCTGTGAGCACGGGGGAGGAATCAGGGGAAGAATTCAGGAATGGATTATTGTATGGACAAACTATGAAATGCAAGGGCTTAAAAATGAAGAGGTTAAAAACTAAGAAGTATTGCCCAGCCTTAAGGAGTTTATAATGGATGTGGAACACATGAGAAATATCCACACATAACTATAAAGTGAAACAGAATATGACAAGGTGTCTAAGACCAAAGATCTATGAATACTCAACAAAGTGAAAAATTACACCTACAAAGGCTATGTATGGAAGATGAATGAATTCGAGCTGGGGATTTATAAGTGGGAGAGTTCGGTGAGGCAGCACAAAGTGAATGTTTCTCGAAGGTAGAAACCAAAACACACAGGCTCCTAATAAATCATGCATCAGACTTCTTTCAAGATAAAAAATAATAATTTTTGAAAAAAGCATTAAAATACTCATACATATTGTACAGGGTGGGGCCAAGATGGCTGACTAGAAGCAACAACATTCGGAGGCTCCCATCCAAAAAAACCATAATAAGCATGTGAATCCTTCACCGGCAACCAAGGTATCCAGGTTCTCTCATCAAAACTGACTAGAAGGTTGGCATGACCCACAGAGAGAGGGAAGAACAGTGCTGTGTGGCGGCCCACCTGAGAGCCACAAGGGGAAGAGGGACCCCCACCCCACAGCCAAGGGAGGCAGCGAGTGAGCACACTACCCAGTGGGGGAAACTGTGCTTTCTCCGTGGAACTGGGCAACCCAAAGATCAGGAGATCCCACTCGTGAACCCATGCCACCAGGGTCTAACATCCCAATCCCAGCCCCAAAACTTCTTGAACTGATAAGAAACTTCAGCAAAGTCTCAGGATACAAAATCAATGAGCAAAAATCACAAGCATTTTTTAAACCAACAATAGGCAAGCAGAGAGCAACATCATGAATGAACTCCCATCCACAGTTGCTACAAAGAGAATAAAACAGCTAGGAATACAGAGAACAAGGGATGTGAAGAACCTCTTCAAGGAGAACTACAAACCACTGCTGAGGGAAATAAGAGAGGACACAAACAAGTGGAAAAACATTCCATCCTCATGGATAGGAAGAATCAATATCATGAAAATGGCCATACTGCCCAAAGTAACTTATAGATTCAATGCTATTCCCATCAAACTACCATTGACGTTCTTCACAGAATTAGAAAAAAAACTATGTTAAATTTCACATGGAATCAAAGAAGACCACGTATAGCCAAGACAATCCTAAGGAAAAGAACAAAGCTGGAGGCATCACGCTACCTGACTTCAAACTATACTACAAGGCTACAATAACAAAAGCAGCATGGTACTGGTACCGAAACAGACATACAGACCAATGGAACAAAACAGAGGCCTCAGAAATAACACCACACATCTACAACCATCTAATCTTTGACAAACCTGACAAAAACAAGCAATGGGAAAAGGATCTCCTATTAAGTAAATGGTGCTGGGTAAACTGGCTAGCCATATGCAGAAAACTGAAACTGGACCCCTTCCTTATACCTTATACAAGAATTAACTCAAGATGGATTAAAGACTTACATGTAAAACCCAAAACCGTAAAAACCCTAGAAGAAAACCTAGGCAATACCATTCAGGACGTAGGCATGGGCAAAGACTTCATGACAAAAACACCAAAACCAACTGCAACAGAAGCCAAAATTGACAAATGGATCTAATTAAACTAAAGAGTTTCTGCACAGCAAAAGAAACTATCATCAGAGTGAACACGCAACCTGCAGAATGGGAAAAAATTTTTGCAATCTATCCATCTGATAAAGGTCTAATATTCAGAATTTACAAGGAACATAAACATATTTACAAGGAAAAAACCACCTCATCAAAAAGCGGGCAAAGGATATGAACAGACACTTCTCAAAAGAAGACATTTACATGGCCAACAAACATGAAAAGAAAGCTCAACATCACTGATCTTAAAAGAAATGCAAATAAGAACTACAATGAGATACCATCTCATGACAGTCAGAATGAGGGTTATTAAAAAGTCAGGAAACAACAGATGCTGGCAGGGCTGTGGAGAAACAGGAATGCTTATACACTGTTAGTGGGGATGTAAATTAGTTCAACCATTGTGGAAGACAGTCTGGCGATCCCTCAAGGATCTAGAATCAGAAATACCATTTGACCCAGCAATCTCATTACTGGGTGTATATCAAAAGGAATATAAATAATTCTACATAAATACACATGCATGTTTACTGCAGCACTATTTACAATAGCAAAAACATAGAACCAACCCAAATGCCCATCAATGATAGACTAGATAAAGAAAATGTGGTACATATACACCATGGAATACTACGCAGCCATAAAAAAGGAATGAGATCGTGTCCTTTGCAGGGACATGGATGAAGATGGAAGCCATCATCCTCAGCCGACTAACACAGGAAAAGAAAACCAAACACCGCATGTTGTCACTCATAAGTGGGAGTTGAACATTGAGAATACATGGACACAGAGAGGGGAACAATACATACCAGGACCTGTTGGGGGGTGGAGGGTAGGGGGAGGGAACTTAGAGGATGGGTCAATAGGTGCAGCAAACCACCATGACACACATATACCTATGTAACAAACCTGCACGGTCTGCACATGTATCCCATTTTGTTTTGTTTTGTTTTGTTTTTAGGAGAAATGAATAAAATAAAATACTCATTGCATATTTGTGAATCATATTTGACAATATGCAAGACACATTTACGGAGTATAATGTGGTAGAAGAAATAAGAGGTTAAAAATAACTCTAATAAAAATCATTAGAAAGGAACACATATTCTGTGGTTTTCTGTGGAGGAAGTGGTCATTTCATTTTCAGAATTATTAACAAAAATAGTATGATGCTAGCAAACATGTGTAGGCCTTTAATTCTGTACCATAATGTGCTAAGGTATTTCCTCATGCAGTATTATCTCATGTAACATTTAGGATAAGTTTCTGAGGTAAGTGTTATGCCCATTTTACAGAGGAGGAAACAGAGGCTGAGGAGAAGTGAAGTAAGTTGTCTGAGGTCACACAGGTAGGCAGTGACAGAGGCACGGTTTGAATGTCATTGGTCACATGTCAAGCTCCAATGTAGGGAAGGATTTGAGTTGGACTCTGAAAGATGGATGCGGTTTCGGCATGTAGAGATGGTCTGGGGAGATTGGTTTGCATTTGCGAAGATCATGTGAATACAGTTCTAAAGTTGAGAGAAAATAATTTAGCTTGTTTAAACACAAAATCACTTTGAGGAGTTGTAGTGTCCTTAAGAGGGTTGGTTGGGATAAAGACAACAAACATCAAAATGAAGGCACCAAGAAAGAGAGAAGGAGAAGAGGAGAGTAGAGAAAGAAAAGGAGGAAGAAAGGAAAGAAAGAAGTAAGGAAAGGAGGAAGGCAGGGAGGAAGGGAGAGGGAGAAAAAAAGAAAGAGAGAAAGAAAATGAAAGAAAGAAAGAAAAGAAAAGAAAAAGAAAGAAAGAAGAAAGAGAGAGAGAATGGGAGAAAGGGGGAGATGGAAAAAAAAAACCCTGTATGCAGTTAAGGAATTTGGACATGCAGGAAGCAAAATCCATAAATTGAATTTGGTTGCAGGGGACAGTGCTATGTCTCACCTGCCTTTGTTTCTTCCTACGATATTTAATTAAACGCTTTGAAAAATGTTTGAATGAACATAATAATAATCAATAAGAATTGCATTTTAGGAAGGTTAACTTAAAAGGGTTGTATACAAGGATTTCATTTTCAGGGAGACAATTTTTAGACTCCTACATACTCTGTATACTACTTTTACTTTCTTAAATTTTTTTCTGGGCAAGATTTCCATTTCATGTCAGCAGAGCAAAAATTTATTCAATAAATGGCTTCTTGTCAGAGAAGGTGGGTTTAAACTATTTTTCCTCTAGGTTTCGATCATTATTCCAGTTCTTATAAGTTGTAATTCTTAAATCAGCCTATAAGACTGTGTTATGCACTCATAAGTTTTTTTTATACAAAAAAATAACTGCAGCCCTATCATTCTCCATCCTGTGCTATCAGCATGCAACATTGAGTGTTTTCTGACACTTCTGGTTCCCAGTTCTCTAAATGAGATTTAAATGAGCCTGAATCGTTGTAATTCTGCCTTAGTTCAATGACATCTGGGAAATTCCAGAGTTTTCACATTTTTTCTGCGTTTCCAGCAAGTCACTTGGCTGAATTGTTCCTGAGTTGTGTTTATACTTAACTTGCTCTGCTGCCTTCCTGGCTAGAATTGGGGTATCCAGTTTTTCTGAGTTCGGTGTTGTTCTTAGGTGGTCTAAAGTGTTCTGGAACTTAGGCTTAAGCCTAGCAATGATTCTTGTGTCTCCCTTCTGGTCATTGCGGCTTAAAGATTCACAGTAGAATACCTTTATAAAGATGAATTATGCTTTTCAGGGTATTTTCTCCCATGACATGATATTCTGAATATTTAAATACCAACCAGTATTATGTTTGAGTTTACTGGAAGATTTGACTATATAATTTGTTCACCTAATCATATTATTGTTATTATGGTTGATGTTTGTCTCCTTCCAAAAATGTATTTGAAATTGTTAAAATTAAATATCAAAAAATAAAAATAAGACAATTAGTAATAAAATAGAGAAATCGATAGAGATAGTTTAAAGGAAGCGGAGAGGAATGATACTACTATACATTTAAGATGGTAAGATTCATATAATTCATCACCGAATCTGGCTTTCTGTTTTCTGGCTGCTAAGTTAAAGGGAAAACATGTCATGTTGCATGGATTCTACTTCCTGACAGATAAATGAATGTACCTTTGTCTGCAGAAAATTTTTTCTTAATTTAACACAAACAGAAATTTTTTGTGCAGACTTATCAAGATCTTTGAGTAACATAATAGATATTTCCTACTAAAATTTAATAAAATTTTCAAATAATCCTCTTTTTATGGACAGGACAAACAGCTTGTATTACATATTTGTTTTTCACATTTTCATCTGGATAATAAAAATACCTCAGAGGAACAAAATGGTGGGGGGAGTCCCTTTAGGCCTGACCTGCCCTTTTGATTACCTGAACAAACGGAATTATACCCAAATCTACAAAGGATGCAGAGGCTGGCCACCAAAGATTTGAATTTCCAACTCCTACAGTGTGAGCTCAGTTATAAAATCATAGAAGAGGAGCTTAAGATGAACAAAATCAATCCCTTCATTCACAAAAGAAGAAACTAAAGCAGGGGAAAATGTAGCCTCGGTTTGACTAGATTGTTGAGCATACCGATGTAGAATGTGGACAGCCTTGCTCCTGTCCATCACAAAAGAGGATTGCATATTTGTTTTAGGAAGCCCTCACTATGCTTCCCATCTTAATGCTCCCATTCTTTCTCTGCCAACCATCGAGAAGAGATCAGGAGTAGAATTCAGACACTGGAGCAAAGCTTCATATAATCAAAAAAGTCCAAAGTGTGCAATTTTGTTTGAAGTTAATATAACACACAACTTATACTCTTCTCATACTGAAAGTTCATAATGAACTTTTGGGAATAGTCCTAATTTAACGTAATATCTTTTTTATAAAGATGATTTATATAGTATGGAACTAAAGGCGATTTACTTTTTCACAGGGTTACAATATTTATCCCGCAAATCAGAAAAAAACTTATTTATCAAACCATGTATTTCATTCAAATTTAGAGGCTGTCATCATGACACATATTAAGTATTAGGTATAGCAATCTTTTCTTCCAATTACTAAGGAGATATTTTTACCAACTTACAGATTCTCCTATGCTTCACCAGATTCAATTTGTCCAAAAAATTATCTAGAAATTTCAGAGAGAGGTTTAAATGATTTTCTGCTTATCTTCTCCCATTTTTATTCTCCTCATTCCCATCTCCCCCGCTACTCTGGTGAAAATTTCCTACATATCCTGGTTTTTGAAGGGGTCTGTGAAAACGTCTCATCATTTCCTTACTTCAGCTATTAAGCCACTGGAAATTAGCAAGATCTGACATTACGCTTCATCACCATTTTTAAGTGCATTCTGTCTGCCTGGAGTATAGCAGTTCTTATGCTCCACAAAACAGCATGTGAGGGCTACTTGTTTAGTTAATAATGTGACACTGAGCAGCTGTTCAAAGAGAGCCCCTACACCAAAATAGAGAAAGCTCTGTCCACTTGCTGGCATTTCTTTCTTCCTTTCTTTTTCTCTGCTGTGCTCCCTGGCTTCCTGATGCACAGATGCTGCTGTTGGTCATTTCAGCCACTTTCCAGAGGGATTATTAAGATCCCCTTGAGCCAAGTTTGCAGGAAACAAATGGGTTTTATAAATGTATATTAATCTGTTCAGCTTCAGATAATGAAAACATACTACTCTGGTATGAATCATATGTGGCATGTGAAGCCCTAGTCCCACCCCAAGGAATGTAACCAAAGACGCTGAGGTGTTGGAATGTGGCCTCAGAGTCAGGGTGCTTCATGGGAGGTATTCACAATGCAAAATAACAGATCCATATTAGGGGCATTTTGATTTTGGAATGAGGAGTAAAGCTCTGGCCTCTGTCTGTCCTGGAGGTCAAGAGAGGACACCTAGAATCAGGCCTGAATGAATGGACCTGGTCTTCCTAAGGACACCATTTTAAGTAAATATCTCAGCAGGTGGTTGCTGCATCTCAAGAAGACTATGGGGCATGTGTACCTTTGCCCTCAGTCCTGGTCCTCCTTTGCTCACGGGCTTGCTGGGCCCGCCATGCCCATTAGGACAGGGTGGGCGTTGGTTCCTGTGTGCAAACCCAAGGCAGTTCCTGGGTGCTCCGAGCCACAGCTCTGACTCAGAGAGTCAAGTCAGCCTTGGGACTACATCTACAGTTCATTTACTGACCCCCCAGGATATTTTCAAACAGTATTGTGTTTCTGTGTTTGAAGAAGAGAATTTTACGTCATTCTTGGGGAAATAGCGCCACTAAAGACTTTTCTTTCGCAATGCTGCCGCATTGGAATATAAAACTCAGCGATATAGCAGATAACTACTTCATCCTCAGTGCAGATTAACTGACTGCATATCCAGAATTTACTCTGGGTAATCTAGTCTCTGGGAAGGCATAGGGTAGAGTGGAAAGTCTTCTGAATGGGGAGTCCTGACAATCATCTCTAGACCCTTTCTCTACCACAAGCTGGTGACTTTGAACAAATGACTCGCTTGCCCGCTGAGAGCCTATTTCTTCTTCTGTTCATAGAAAAAATAACTACCTGTCCTACAAATTTCACAAGATTATCTGTTCAAAATAAATAGATAACATGCATAAATTACTTTGCAAATGTTAAATTTTAGGAATTTAAGAAATTATACTTTAAACAGAATAAAATAGTGCTAAATATTTTTAAAGTACAAACAATAGGAATATAATGTGTTAAAGAGTACAATGACTTATAATGAAGCATATATAAATGGTAACACATTATATTAAGTCTCTGATACAGACTCATAAGAATATACTAAAATACCTATATTTCTGCAGGCTTAGAACATGAAATTATGTACTTGTCAGTCAAATACTACAAGTCTTACATATTTTCTTCAATGTTACCTACATGTAATTGCTCACAGAACTTAAAAACTTGTTTACACTGGATTTTCTGGCTTAGTGCACCCTCATTCTTCCCTTTGGTCTATGTACAACGTCTGCATTCCATGAACCCTGGGGCAGCAGGATCACCCACTGATAAGACAGATACATTTGAGACAGGATATAAATCAGCCTGATCTTTGCCTAGGATAAGCTCTAACAGAGAATCAACCTTTAGCCTTGTGGACAGTGACTAGATCCAGTTCACTCCATTTCCCTATAAATTAGTCTAAACTAATCTGAATACATTCATTTCAGAGACTTTATACTGAGGCCATTTCTCAGTTGCTTGTGCTGGAATTAAACCAAACCCCTTTGCTTTGGGGAATGCTCAACTGGTAAGGTTCAGAGAAGGCAGTTTCAGATCACAGACCTCACACCAAGTGATTACACAAGTAAGACACGTGCATCAATCCTTCTAACCACAGTCATCCAAGTGGGCTGTTGGGTTTTGTCACTTTGCTAAGTGCTGACTTCGGATCCCATTTGTAATCTGAAATGTACCAAGTGTACTCTTGTTGATACATTTGGAGTTGCTTCCACGGTTCAAACATTTAGGGTTACGTGTATTTTTTCAAGTATGACCTATATTATTAGTATCGTTTTGTTTAGTTTCATTAACAGTGGCAGTGCAAGCACAGTGGTGGTGACGGAGGAAACACAGTCCTTTTATTTCAGCACCTGCCAAGGCAGGGCATTATGTGAGGAGCTTCAGATAAATTGCTAATAAGGTCATGAAAGTTTGGCAAGATTTATTTTATCATCCTTATTTTACTGATGAGAAAGCTGTCAGCTGACTTGAGCCTCCATTACAAGTGACTGCAAACCCTACTCTTTCTGACTCTTAAAACTGGCTACAGGCCAGGCGCAGTGGCTCATTCCTGTAATCCCAGGACTTTGGGAGGCCGAGGAGGGCGGATCTCGAGGTCAGGAGATCAAGACCATCCTGGCTAACAGAGTGAAACCCCGTCTCTACTAAAAATACAAAAAATTAGCTGGGCGTGGTGGTGGGCACCTGTAGTTCCAGCTATTCGGGAGGCTGAGGCAGGAGAATAGCGTGAACCCGGGAGGCAGAGCTTTTGCAGTGAGCTGAGATCACGCCACTGCCCTCCGTCTCAAAACAAAAAAACAAAAAAAAAAAACCCACAAAAACTGGCTACAAAACTAGTGGCAACTTCAGGAATACAGAATAATCATAGAAAATATACTTGACTTGCATGAATATATTAGATCATTCTAGAAGTTTCCAGAGACCACAAAGGACCCTGCCCTCCCAGGGCTCTGCAACATTCCTTGCCCTCTGGCATGATCAGAGGCCCCTGTGGCTCATGTTTCTGCCTTGGTGTTGGATAATAAATTATTCCAGTGGCTGGTGATTTGGTTGAATCTAAATCTCAGCCAGTAAATGATAAAATGTGGCAAGCAAAGTTTTGCATAGGCCTCTTCTCTGGGTTGTGTGTATGGGGCTCAATTCCTCTCCACAACAGCAGGGATCTCAGTGCTCCAGAAATGCTCCCATGATGGGAAGCCCCACAAACTGATGGTGTTGGAATTGAAAGATAGGAAGGACAACATGTGAGGGAAGAAAGCTCTGTCTCTAACATTTGGAGCTTTACTGCCAACCCAATTCCCATTTGCCTAACTGAAGACACACAGCTGTAATAGGAAAAAGTGGTGCATTGGTATCTGCTTTAAGATGCTCCAAGTTTCTCAGAGTGGGCAGCTCTATGGTAGTTGGGGGACAGTGGTCATTTAGTCACTGTCCTCTTTAGACAATGGTGGAATGTATGCAGGATACAATGGCATGGCCAAAGTCAAGCATGACAATTTCATATTTGGGACAGAAATCCAGGTAAAGAAAACTGAAGCTTTCTTGATGAGAAAATTCAAATTATCCAAAGACAAAAGATGTTCTAGCCCTGCTTCCTGCATTATGAAGACATTATGAGCCTCGCCGTGGGTGCTGATGGCGGGGAGGGGCGTGTGGGAGGCCTGGGTTGCGAACCTGAGTCAACTGCCCACTCCTCACAGTCCCAGACCCAGGAGATACGGGAAGGCACGCACAGAGGAGTCACCAAGGAGCTTTTCGCGGAGGGTGGTGATGTGTGGGGGCATCCTTCCTCCCACATGGGTCCAGGGAGATTCACCTCTCAGGGGCTCCTGAGCATGTGGGCCTGGACCCCACAGGGCATGCAGGGGCGGGCGGGCTTCCATGCAGGATGAGTGAGTGGAGAGAAACGCTCTGGTTAGAGAATTCCCGGCCTACACGTCGCCCCCTCACCAAGATAGAGAGCTCCTGATTTCCCCGGGTGGACAGGTGTCAGTGTGTGCCTTTCAGTGTCAACCCGTGTGGCAGATGGGTGAAATACAAGTCTTGTGAAATTCGAATGCGAAACTTGTGAAATCAAAAGGGTTTTATTAATGACCATCAGGGAGTCATGATCAAGGTGAAGCCTTCCAGCAAAACCAGCGATTGGCTTGTTGGCAGATACACCCAAGGGAGGCTTCATACCTTAAGGTGACCTGGATGGTGTTTTGGAGATAATGCAGGCCCACTTGTGACCCTGGTCCCTTCTACTGGGACTGTAAATAAAAATAAACGGTGGGCCAGAGGTCTCCTGGAAAAAAAAAAAAAAAAGACATTATGTTTGATTCACACCATTTTATCTTCCATTCCACTCTTCATGAAATAACTTCGACAGTGGAAAATGAGGAAAAACCTGAATTGGTCTAGAAGCTGGAGAAGAAAATTATTGAAATATCAGCATTTTGGGGGACTTTCTCCTACTTATAACACTAATGGGACATTAAAGACTGGAGGGCCAATTTGAAAGTTTCCTGTTGGAGGGAGTGGTATAGTGGTATAGTTTTTCACTGAGATATTAGAAAGATCCTGGAACTCACAATCATCCTCCCTGTAGGAGTAAAGGCTGAATGCTGATGGGGATTATTACCCTCACTGGGACAATATTATTTTAATCCCGTAGTCATTGACGGTTGTGGTGACTGCCCAGCTCATGGTCAAAGATTGTTGAAATTATAAAAAATAAAATTTTCTGATTCAAAAGCAGAAGCAAAGTAATTAAATTCTTATTTAAATTTAAGAAAACATGATTTTTATTAGGAAATATATAAATGACGAGATGGTAACAATACAGATGGTGATAACATTAGCTGGGTTAGAAACAAGTCAAAAATAATTTTTAAAAGAGTTCATAGTTATAAAGAAAGAATAGTTTGAAATAAAATAGGAGTAAATGTAAATTTAAAATGCATTAGAAGGAGCCAATTTACAAAGCCAATTGACTTTGCGGAAAATAAAGTCAGCAATTCAGAAACTAACCTATAGAGAATCTTCCATTATGGAGAAAAGACTAAGAAATGGGGAAAAAATAACAGACTTGGGGAGATGTAGAGGCAAATTGTGCAATTAAAATTTATGGGTAATACTCCTTCAAAAGAAATTAAAATAAATAGGATGGAAAAATATTTAAAGGTTAAAACAAAAGTAGTATATTAATAGTAATAAGAAGCTATGTTTAGTAAGATTGTATTTTTGAAATGGAAGACTGTTTCAATATTAGCAAAATGAATTACATACCCACAGAAAATATTTCAAAATTTATAAAAATTTATATCTACTTCTACTTTAAAAATTGCTAATAAACTAAAAATAGAAAGATGCTTTTTTTACATGAATAAAACTCTTGAGTCATTATTTTTTATGTTATTAAAATTTTGAAATTGATGTTTAAAATTATATGTATCTGCTATGTACAACATGGTTCAAAATATATATGCATTGTGGAATGATAAAATCTATCTAATTAATTTATGCATTACCTCACATAGTTATCATTTTTGCAATGAAAACACTTTGCATCCATTCTCAGCATTTTTTAAGAAAGCAGTATATGATTAACTTTAGTCACCATGTTATACAATAGATCTCTTGAACTTATCCCTCCTCTCTAACTAAAATTTTGTATTCTTTCATCTTCTCCTTCTCCATCGCCTCCTCCAACCTCCCCCCAGTCTCTGGTGACCACCATTATAATCTTTACTTCTGTGAGATCAGCTTTTCCGTATTTCACATATGAATGAGACGACTCACTGTTTGTCTTTCTGTTTCTGGCTTATTTTACTTAAAAAAATGTCCTCCAGGTTCATCCATGTTGTCACAAATGATAGAATTAATTTCTTTCTTTATTGCTCATGGCTGAACATATTCTGTTGTATGTATATACAACTGTGTAGGTTGTCTCTTCACTCTGTTGATTGATAACGTTACTGTGCAAAAGTTTTTTAGTTTGATGTAATCCTATTTGTCTGTTTTTTCTTCTATTGCCTGTGCTTTTGGAGTCAAATTCAAAAGATCATTTACCACACCAATGTCATGGAGCTTTCCCCTTATGTTTTCTTCTAGTAGTTTCATAGTTTCAGTTTTTAAGTTTTGAATGTATTCTGAGTTGATTTTTATATATGGTGTAAGATATTGCATATGATAGGGTCTAATTTCATTCTGCATGTGGATATCCTGTTTTCCCAGTGTCATTTATTGAAGGGATTTGACTTTCTTCATTGGTGACTGTTGAAAATCAGTCTGCTTTAAATGTGAAGATTTATTTCTGAGCTCTCAAGTTTGTTCCGTGGGTCAATATGTCTGTTTTTATGACAGTACCATGCTGTTTTGATTACTATAGCTCTGTCATATATATTATCTAGTTAGATTGACCATTTTATTATTATATAATGATCTTCTTTGTCTCTTTTTAAAGTTTTGACTTAAAGTCTGTCTAATGTGATATAAATGCTACTTTTCCTCCTCTCTTTTGGTTTCCATTTTTATGGAATGTATTTTTCTATCTATTCATTCAGTCTGTGTAAGTCCTTACAAGTGAAGTGAGTCTCTTATAGGCAGCATACAGTTGAATCTTTTTTTAAAAAAATCCATTAAGCCTCTGGGTGTATTGTAAATGGATAATTTGATCTGTTTACATTTAATTTTTTTTTTTGAGACGGAGTCTCACTCTGTCACCCAGACTGGAGTGTAGTGACGCACTCTTGGCTCACTGCAAATTCCACCTCCCAGGTTCAGGTGATTCTCCTGCCTCAGCCTCCCAAGTAGCAGCGATTACAGGCACCCACAACCATGCCCAGCTAATTTTTGTATTTTTAGTAGAGAAGGGGTTTCACTATGTTGGCTTGAATAGGTAAGGGCATATGACTGACAATTTGTTACCTGTTTTCTTGTTTTGTAAAATAGATCCTTTGTTCCTTTTTTCCTAACTGTCTTGTTTTGTAGCTAAGTGATTTTTTTCTAACGTTATGTTTTGATACATTCCTTTTTAGTTTTGGGGAATCTACTGTTTTTTGCTTTATGGTTATAATTAGGTTTACAAAAAACATTTTACAGTTATGATACTTTCTTTTAAACTCATAACAACTTAACTTTGACCCAAAAAATGCTGTACTTCCACTCCATTCTCCCCCAACATTTAAAGTTTTTGATGTCACAATTTACATGTTCTTACATTGCATATGCATTAATAAGTTATTTTAGTTATTATTTTTAATCGTTTTATCTTTCAACTTTTAAACTAAAGATAGACATAATTTATATATCACTGTTACAGTATTAGAGTATTCTGAATTTGACTGTGTATTTACTTTTACCAGTAAGTTTTGTACATTCAGAAGTTTTTTATGTAACTCATTAGGGTTTTTTCTTTTAGCATGAAGGACTCCCTTTAGCATTTCTTACAAAACAGGTCTGGTGGTGATGAACACCCTCTCCTTTTGTTTGTGTGAGAAAGTCTTTATCTCTACAATTTTGAATGACAGTTTTGCTGGGTATAGAATATTTGGTTGCACATTTTTTTCTCCTTCAGCACCTTGACCATATCATCTCACTCTCTTTGGTCTATAAGGTTTCTGCCAAGAAGTATGCAGTTAGCAAGACTTCTGCTATTCACATGTTTATATCTTTCACCAAGTTTAGAAAGTTTTCTGTTACTATTTTTAAATAAGCTTTTGATTCCTTTATTTTTCTCTCCTCCTTTTTCAACTCCTATAAATGAAACTTTGCCCTTTTGAGGGTGTGCCATAATTTTTGTGGGTACATAGTAGGTATATATCTTTATGGATTACATGGGATATTTTATACTGCCATGCAATGAATAATAATCACATGAGGGTAAGTGGGGTATCCCTCACCTGAAGCATTTATCCTTTGTGTTAAAAACAACCCAATTATACACTTTTGGTTATTTTTAAATGCACTACAAAATTATTTTTCACTATAGTTACCCTGTTGTTCTAGCAAATACTAGGTCTTATTCATTCTTTCTAACTATTTTTTTTTGTACCCATTAGCCATCTCCACCCACCCACCTGATTCTCATTCCCATCCTCTGGTAACCATCCTTCTACTGTCTATCTCCATGAGTTCAATTGTTTAATTTTTTAGCCCCCACAAATAAGTGAGGATATATGAAGTTTGTCTTTCAGTGCCTGGCTTATTTCAATTAATATAATGAGCTTCAGTTGCATATATGTTGCTGCAAATGACACAATCTCATTTTTTATGACTAAGTAATACTCTTTGTGTATATGTACCAGATTTTATTTATCCATTCATCTGATGGACACTTAGGTTAGGTTGCTTCTAAATCTTGGCTATTGTAAATAGTCCTGCAATAAACATGGGAGTGCAGATATCTCCTCCATATACTGATTTCCTTTATTGGGGGTATATACCTAGGAGTGAGCTTGCTGATCATATGGTAGCCTCTATTTTTAGATTTTTTTGCAGAACCTCCAAATTGTTCTCCATAATGGTTGTACTAATTTACATCCCTACCAACAGTGTACTTGGGTTCCCTTTTCTTCAAATGCCCACTAGCATTTGTTAGTGCCTGTCCTTTGGATAAAAGCCATTTTAACTGGGGTAAGGTAATATCTCACAATTTTGATTTGCATTTCTCTGATAATCAATGATGTTGAGCACCTTTTCATATGCCTGTTTGCCATTTATATGTATTCTTTTGAGAAACAGCTATTCAAATCTTTTGCCTATTTTTAAATTACATTGTTAGATTTTTTTTCCTATAGCGTTGTTTGAGCTCCTTGTATATTCCAGTTATTAATCCTTTGTCAGATGGATAGTTTGCAAATATTTTTCTCATTCTGTGGGTTGTCTCTTCACTTTTTTGGTTGTTCCCTTTTTGCACAGAAGCTTCTTAACTAGATGTGATCCCATTTGTCCATTTCTTTTCCTTGGTTGCCTCTGCTTGCGAGGTATTGCTCAAATCTTTGCCTAGTCCAATGTCTGGAAGAGTTTCATTACTGTTTTCTTGTAGTAGTTTCACAGTTTGAGGTCTTATATTCAAGGTCTTATATTCAAGTCTTTAATCCCTTTTGATTTCATTTTTGTAAATGGTGAGAGATAGGGGTCTAGTTTCATTCTTCTGCATATAGATACCTAGTTTTCCAAGCATCATTTACTGAAGAAACATTTATTCCCATTGTATGTTCTTTGCACCTTTGAAAAAATTTTACTACAGGTATGTGGATTTATTTCTGGGTTCTCTTTCATTGGTCTATGTATCTATTTTTATGACAGCACAATGCCATTTTGGATACTATAGCTCTGTAGTAAAATTTGAAGTCAGGTAATGTGATTCATCCAGTTTCGGTGGATGTTTCTGTTTTTGATTTTGTTTTGTGCTTAGGATGACTTTGGCTATTTGGGTCTTCTGTCATTCTACATGTATTTTAGGATTTTTTTCTATTTCTGTGAAGAATGACATTGGTATTTTGATAGGAATTGCACTGAATCTGTAGATTGCTGTGGGTAGTATGGGCATTTTCACAATATTTATTCTTCCAATCCATAAACATGCAATATCTTTCCATTTTTTACATCTTCTGCAATTTCTTTCATTAATGTTTTGTAGTTTTTATTGTAGAGATCTTTCACTTCTTTGGTTAAGTTAATTCCTTAGTATTTAATTTTATTTGTAGCTATTGTAAATGGGATTATTTCTTGATTGCTTTTTCAAATTGTCTGCTATTGGCATATAAAAATGCTACTGTTTTTTGTAGGACGATTTTGTATACTGCAACTTTTCTGAATTTATCAGTTCTAATAGTGTTTTGATGGAGTCCTCAGGTTTTTCCAAATATAAAAGTATAACATCTGCGAACAATATAATTTGACTTATTTCCCTCCAATTCAGATGCTCTTTATTTCTTTCTCTTTTCTGATTGCTCTAGCTAGGACTTCCAGTACTATGTTGAATAATAGTGGTGAAAGTGGGCATCCTTGTCATGTTTCCAATCAGCAAAAAGGCTTTTAGATTTTCCCCATTCAGTATGATACTAGCTATGGGTCTGTCATATCTGGCTTTTGTTATGCTGAGGTATGTTTATTCTGCACACATATACCCAGTTTTTGAGGTTTTTTCATGAAGGGATGTTGAATTTTATCAAATGCATTTTCAGCATCAATTGAAATAATCATATGACTTTTGTCCTTCATTCTGTTGACCTAATGTATCACATTAATTGATTTGTACATGTTGAAGCATTCTTTCACCTCTGTGGTAAATCCCGCTGGGTCATGATGAATGATCTTAATTTGTTGTTGAATTCAGTTTACTAGTATTTTCTTGAGGAGTTTTACATAAATATTCATCAATGATATTGGCCTATAGTTTTCTCCTTTTTTAAATGTGTCTCTTTCTGGTTTTTGTATGAGAGTAATACTGGCTTCATAGTATAAGTTTGGAAGTTATTCCTCTTCCTCTACTTTTTGGAATAGTTTGAGTGGGATTGTTGTTAATTATTCTTTAAGTATTTGATAATATTCAGCAGTTAAACCATTGGGTTACAGGCTTTCTTTTACTGAGAGACATTTTATTATGGTTTTTATCTTGTCACTTGTTACTGGTCTGTTCATGTTTTTCATTTCCTAATGGTTCAATATTGGTAGGTTTTATGTGGCTAGGAATTTGTTCATTTCTCCCAGATTTTCCAGTTTATTGGCATATAGTTGCTCATGGTAGCTACTAATCCTGTGAATTTCTGCAGTGTCATTGTAATATCTCCTTTTTCGTCTTTGATTTTATTTATTTAAGTCTTTTTTTCTTAATCTGGCTAATGATTTGTCATTTTTTATCTTTTCAAAAGTCCAACTTTGTGTGTGTTTATCTTTTGTATTGTTTTATTCATTTCAAATTTATTGATTTCTGCTCTTATCTCTATTATTTCTTTTCATCTATCTATTTTGGGTTTGGTTTGCCTTTGCTTTTCTAGTTCTTTCAGATGCAACATTATGTTATTTATTTGAAATTTTTCTTCTTTTTTGATGTAGGCACTTATAGCTATAAACTTCTTTCTTGTACTGCTTTTGCTGTATCCCATTGGTTTGGGTATGTTCTGTTCCATATTCTTTTTTTTTTTTTTCAAGAAATTTTTATTTTTTCTCTTAATTTCTCCTTCCTTCCTTCCTTCCTTCCTTTCTTCCTTTCTTTCCTTCTTTCGAGTCTCACTCTGTTGCCAAGCTGGAGTGCAGTGGCGCAATCTCGGCTCACTGCAATCTCCGCCTCCCTGGGTTCAAGTGGTTCCTCTGCCTCAGCCTTCAGAGTAGCTGTGACTACAGGAGCGCACCACCACACCCAGCTAATTTTTTGTGTTTGAGTAGAGACAGGGTTTCACCATGTTGGCCAGGATGGTCTCGATCTCCTGACCTCGTGATCCTCCTGCCTTGGCCACCCAAAGTGCTGGGATTACAGGCATGAGCCACCACGCCCAGCCAGATTTCCTCTTAATTTCTTCATTGACCCACTGGTCATTTAGAAGCATATTTTTTAATCCATGCATTTGTATAGTTTTCAAAATTCTCTGTGTTATTGATTCCTAGTTTTATTCCATTGTGGTCAGAGAAGCTACTTGATATTATTTCCACTTTTTTTGAATGTTTGAAGACTTGTTTTGTGATCTAAGCTATGATCAATCCTTCAGAGAGATCCATGTGCTGAGGAAAAGAATGTGTATTTTTTAGCTCTTGGATGAAATGTTCTGTAATTATATATTAGATCCAATTGGTTTATACTGCAGATTAAATCCAATATTTCTTTGTTGATTTTCTGTCTGGAAGATCTGTCCAATGCTGAAAATGAGGTGTTGAAGTCTCCTGCTATTACCGTATTGAGGTCTATCTCTCTCTTTAGCTCTAATAATATTTGCTTTATATATCTGAGTGCTCCAGTGTTGGGTGCATATATATTTACAATTATTATATCCTCTTGCTGAATTGATCCCTTTATCATTATGTAGTGACCTTCTTTGTCTCTTCTTACAGTTTTTGTCTTGAAATCTATTTTGTCTGATATAAATATAGCTACTCTTGCTTTCTTTTGGTTTCCACTGATATGGAATATATTTTTCTATCGCTTTATTTTCAGCCTATGTGTGTCTTTATAGGTGAAGAATGCTTCCTGTAGGCAACAGATCAATGGGTCTTGTTTTTTTAATCCTTTCAACCACTCTATGTCTTTTGATTGAAGAGTGTGGATCATTTACATTCAATGTTATTATTGGTAAGTAAGGACTTACTCCTGCCATTTTGTTATTTGTTTTCTGGTTATTTTGTAGTCTTTTCTTTCTTCTTTCCTTTCCTCCTGTCTTCCTGTTAGTGAAGGTAATTTTCTCTGGTGATATAATTTAGTTTCTTGCTTTTTATATTTTGAGTCTCCGTTGTATGATTTTGATTTGAAGTTACCCACTACATACTATCTTATAACCCATTATTTTAAGCTGATAACAACTTAAAACTGTTTGCATAAACAAATAAACAATGAGACAGACAACTAGTAAAAATTCTGCACTTTTTATTCCTCCACTCTTAAACTTTTTGTTGTTTCCATTTATATCTCCTTGTACTATGTCTTGAAAAGTTGTTGTAGATATTATTTTTGGTTGGTTCATCATTTAATCTTTCTACTTAAGAGTAGTTACATGTCCAGGCTCAGTGGCTTATGCCTGTAATCCCAGCACTTTGGGAGCCCAAGGTGGGCAAATCACCTGAGGTCAGGAATTCGAGACCAGCCTGGCCAACATGGCAAAATCCCATCTCTACTAAAAATACAAAAATTAGCCAGGCATGGTGGCGGACTTCTGTAATCCCAGCTACTTGGGAGGTTGAGGCAGCGAGAATTGCTTGAACCAGGGAGGCGGAGGTTACAGTGAGCCAAGATCGCACTACTGCACTCCAGCCTGGGTGCCAGAGTGAGGCTCTGTCTCAAAAAAACAAAAACAAAAACAGTAGTTTACACACAACAGTTACACTCATAATGTTCTGTGTTTTTCTGTGTAATTACTAGTACCAGTGAGTTTTTGTAACTTCAGATGATTTCTTATTGCTCATGAACATCCTTTTTCTTTTGGATTGAAATATTCTCTTTAACGTTTCCTGTAGGACAGGTCTGATACTGATAAAATCCCCCAGCTTTTGCTTGTCTTGGTAAGTCTTCATTTCTCCTTCATGTTTGAGGGATAATTTCACTGGATATACTATTCTAGGGTAAAAGGTTTTTTCCTTTAGCACTTTTAAGTATGTCTGTCACATGACTCTCTCCTCTCCTGTAAGGTTTCTGCTGAAAAGTCTGCTGCCAAACATATTGCAGCTCCATTGTGTGCTGTTTGTTTCTTTTCTTTGCTGCTTTTTTGGTCCTTTCTTTATTCTTGATCTTTGGGAGTTTGATTATTAAATACCTTGAGGTATTCTTATTTGGGTTAGATCTGTTTGGTGTTCAATAACCTTCTTGTACTAGAGTATTAATATTAATATATTTCTTTAGGTTTGAGAAGTTCTCTGTTATTATCCATTTGAGTAAACTTTCTACACTTCTCTCTTTCTCTACCTCCTCTTTAAGGCCAATAACTCTTAGATTTGCCCTTTTGAGGCTGTTTTTCAGATTCTGTATGTTTACTTTATTCTTTTTATTTTTTTTCTCTTGTCTCCTCTGACTGCATATTTGCAAGTATCTGTCTTCAAGCTCACTAATTTTTCTGCTTGATCAAGTCTGCTGTTAAAAGATTCTGTTATATTCTTTAGTATGTTTATTGCTTTTATTAACTTCAGAATTTTTGCTGGATTCATTTCAATTATTTCAATCTCTTTGTTCAGTTTATCTGATAGAATTCTGAATTCCTTCTCTGTGTTATCTTTTTTTTTCCAGAACCCAGACTTTTTTTTATTGATACCTAATAATTGGACATGTTTATGGGGTACATGTGATATTTTGATACATTTGTACAATGGTAATAACGTAATCAGGGTAATTAGGATACCCATCATCTCAAACATTTATTATTTCTTTGTGTTAGAAATATCTAAATCTCCTCTTCTAGCTAATTTGAAATATGCAGTAAGTTATTGTTTATTACAGTCACCTCACTGTGCTACCAAACACTAGAATTTATTTCATCTTTCTAACTGCATTTTTGTACCCATTAACCTATCTCTCTTCATCTCCTCCTCCTTATCCTTCCCAGCCTCTGGTAACCATCATTCTACCTTTTACATCCATGGGATCAACTTTTTTAGCTCTCACATATGAGTGAGAACATGTGATATTTGTCTCTATGTGCCTGGCTTATTTCACTTAACATAATAACTTCTAGTTCCATCCATATTGCTGCAAATGATAGGATTTCCTTCTTTTTTTATGGCTAAATAATAACCCAGAATCTCTGTGTGTATGTGTGTGTGCCTGTGAACACTTAGGTTTATTTTACAACTTAGCTATTGTGAATACTTCTGCAATAAGCGTGGGAGTGCAGATATCTCTTTGACATACTAATTTTCTTTCTTTCTTTTTTATTGTTATTATACTTTAAGTTTTAGGGTACATGTGCACAATGTGCAGGTTAGTTACATATGTATACGTGTGCCATGCTGGTGTGCTGCACCCATTAACTCATCATTTAACATTAGGTATATCTCCTAATGCTATCCCTCCCCCCTCCCCCCACCCCACAACACTCCCCAGAGTGTGATGTTCCCCTTCCTGTGTCCATGTGTTCTCATTGTTCAATTCCAACCTATGAGTGAAAACATGCGGTGTTCGGTTTTTTGTCCTTGCGATAGTTTACTGAGAATGATGATTTCCAGTTTCATCCATGTCCCTACAAAGGACATGAACTCATCATTTTTTATGGCTGCATAGTATTCCATGGTGTATATGTGCCACATTTTCTTAATCCAGTCTATCATTGTTGGACATTTGGGTTAGTTCCAAGTCTTTGCTATTGTGAATAGTGCTGCAATAAACATACGTGTGCATGTGTCTTTACAGCAGCATGATTATCTTGAATCTCTTTGAGTTTCCTCAAAACAGCTATTTGAATTCTCTATTTAAAAGATCACATATCTCTGTTTCTTCAAGATTGGGCCCTGATGCCTTATTTAGTTTGTTGGGTGAGGTCTTGTTTTACCATTTGGTGTTGATACTTACGTATGTTCTTCAGTGTCTAGGAACTGAAGCATTAGGTATTTATTGTAATATTTGTAGTCTGGGCTTGTTTGTACCCTTCCTTCTTGGGAAGGCTTTTCAGGTATCAATAGGATTTGGGTGTTGTGACCTAAGCCATATCTGCATTAGGGGGCCCAAAAGCCCAGTAATGCTGTGGTTCTTGCAGACTCACAAAAGTACTGCCTTGATGATCTTGGATAATATCTGGAAGAATTCTCTGGATTATGAGGCAGACACTCTTGTTCTCTTCCCTGACTTTCCCTCACACAAATGGAGTGTCTCTCTCTCTCCCTCTCTCTCTGTTCTGAACTGCTTGCAGCTAAGGGTTGGGTGGCATGAGTACTTCTGTGTACACCATCACTGGGATTCTATTGGGTCAGACCTGAAGCCACCACAGCAGTGGGTCTCTCCCAAGGTCTGCTGTAACCACTACCTGGCTACCACCTATGTTCCCTGAAGGCCCTAGGGCTCTATAATCAGTAGGTGGTGAAAACAGCCAGCCTTATGTCCTCTCCTTCAGGGTGCTGAGCTCTCCTAGGTCCTGGGAGAGCCAGATATGCTGTCCAAGAGCCAGATAATAGAGTCAAAAGCCTTAGACATCTACCTGGTGTTCTACGATATTGAGGCTAAGCTGGCATTCAAACCACAAGAGGTAGTCCTTCCTATTCTTCCTCCACTCCCCTGCACCCCATTCCATAGACAGAGAAGCCTCAGCCCATGGCCGTCAGCACCACAGGCCTATAGGGAGTACTGTGAGGCTACTGCCAATATTTCCTTAAGGCCCAAAGACTCTTTGGTCAGCTTGTGATGAAAGTTGCCTGGCCTGGGACTCACCCTTTAGGGCAATGGGCTTCTCCATGGCCCAGGGAAGATCCAGAAATGCCATCCAAGAGCCAAGGCCTAGAATTGGAAAAAGAACTTGTTTAAAGCTCTACCCTCCCCATAGCTGAAGTGGTACCTACGGTGCAAGGCTTTAATTAATTTACATTTGCCTCTGCTTTTCTCAAGCAGAGGGAACCTCTCCCCATAGCCACCACAGTTAAGAATATGCTGAGTCCCACCTGAAGCCAGTTAGTCTCAGAGTCTCACCTAAGGCTTGTGGTGTACTACTGGATATTGTTGGCTATTATTCAGGGTCCAAGACCTTTTTAGTCAGCAGGTGATGGGTCTTGCTGGGAATGGGTCCTTAGCTTCAAGGCAGCCTGTTTCTTTCTGTCCCAAGATGTGTTTAGAAATATCATCTGGGAGCTTGGACCTCACAACTCTGACTAGTGTCCCATCCTGTTGTGGCTGAGCTGGTATCCAAGATGCCAGACTAAGTCCTCTTGACTCTTCCCTCTCCTCCCCTCAAGTAAAAGGAAGGGGTCTCTTCTGGAGCAAGAAACTACATCCTGAGGTTGAGGAGAAGGGGTGCAAGCACTCACTTGGCTGCCCTGGAAGTCCACTGTGAGCCCAGTTCGGTAGTAGGACTTGCCTGGGAGTTGCAGTCCTTGTGACCTAGACTCTCTTTCAAGTTTCTTTAGGTCCCAAGAGCACTTTAGCTTGTGGTGTAGGGCTTGCAGGAACTCAAATTCTGACCTCTGGGATGGGCAATTCTCCTCTGATTGGAGCTGGTTTCAATACTTCCTCCATGGGCAGGCTTCAGCTGAGTTCAACCTAGTTTTGCTTTCTGCTGTGACAGGGCAGCACTGAGTTCAACACGTTTCCCAGTCCCTGTGCTCTCCCTCTCTCAAGTGTGCAGATTCTCTCTCTGCACCATGTGGCTGCTGTGGGGGATGGGGAGGAGAAGTATTGGCAATTCAAGACTGTCTTTCCCCCTCTTCTGTGCCTTTTTCAGCCGTATGAAATTAAAATCAGGTATGTGGGTGCCCACCTGATTTTTGGTTCTTCTGAGGATATTGTTAAACTGTTGTTTTTGCGGGGGAGAGGATGACTGGTGGAGACTTCTGTTTGGCCATTTGTTCCACCTCTCTGAGTTGAATTTTAAAATTTTGTTTATTCCAGCTCCAGTGCTTCTTTTTTTGTCAATTATTTCAATCTCTCTACTAAATTTTTCTTCCTGCCCATTTATCATTTTCCTCATTTTATTGAATTTTTTCTGTATTTTATTAAAGTAGTCTGAGGTTTCTTAAAACAGTTACTTTAAAATCTTTTCAGATGGTTCATACATGTCTGTTTCTTTAGAGTTAGTCACTAGCTCATTGTTTTGTCCATTTTGGTGATGTTATGTTTCCCTGATTTTTTCGATCCTTGTGATCATGCATCAGTGTCTGTGCATCTGAAGTAGTAGGTATTTATTCAATTCTTTGCAGACTGGTTTTGTCTGGGAAACCTCTGCAGCAGGCACAGTGCTGGGGTGTGCCAGAAACCTTGGAAAGCTGTGGCCATAACAGTGTTGCTAGAAGTCTGGGGCCCACTAAGGCTGGTGCAGTGCTAGGGTGGTCCAGAAGGCTAAGACAGATGTGGCTAGAGCAGCTTAGTGACACTTCAGAACCCCATGGCCACTAAGGACTGTCTGCCCTTGAGGGATGTCCAGAACCCCAGGGTCAGTGACTGGACTTATTTGTGATGCATGGAAGAGTTCGGCATGCAAGCCTGAAGCCTGGGGCTGTATGGTCCACTTATGCTAGGGTGGGTCTAGAGGTTCAGTCCATGAGTACTGGCCTGGACTGTTATGCTCTGAGGGTCTCCCCAGTTGTGTGTTTTACTGTGGTGAGCCTGGTGTTGGGGCTTAACATTCTGTGCACACTTCTCTCTCTTTCCCCCAAATTGGACAATATCTTTCTCCATGCTTTGCTACCTGGGGATTAGGCACATGTGATGTGAGTAATACAAAACCATCCTTTCTACCCTCTTCGATGTGTCTTTTCTTATTACTGTGCTACAACTAGGTACTGTGAGCTGCCACCTGGTTTCGTTAGTTCTTATGAAGGTATTTTCATGAGTGGATAGTTGTTTGATTTGGTGTTTTTTTCAGACGGATAATCACTGGGAGTACTACTTCACCATTTTGTTCTGTCCCTCATTGAGTCATTATTCTTAATTGGAAGGGTAAGCAATTCAATCAGTAAGAAATAAAAAGGTAAATAGTCCAGTTTAATTCTGAATATTTAGCATATATATCAGATATTAAGAATATTAAGAACATTAAGTATTAAGGATATCTTTAATATTTGGCTAAATTTTGAGTATGATTTAGTAATCCACAATAATAAATTATACACTTTGAGTGACAGATTGGCATGTGGTGTCATTTTCCAACACACCTAATTTTTATGTGGTAACGTAAGTTTTATTTGCTCATCCTTATTGACCTCTGGAAATAACTTTTTTCTGAAAATATTTTAAAGTGTAGTAATTACTTTGGGTCCCTTTTTAAGGTTTTACAATGATTTTGTCATATTTATTGTTAGAATTGTTTCTTCCCAACTTCAGATGCATGTGTTTTCATGTAGATGTAACTCAACTAGTGTAAATTTTCTATCCTCTAGCCCTTTACTTCATTTCATATTGGTGAAGTCAGTTGCCTTATTGGAAAGTTTAGGATAGGGACTTGGTAGGTGTGCATGAGCTTTTTCCTATCTTCTTCTCCTTCTCCTTCGTTCTTGGGAGTCAGGATGCCTACCTAGAGCACAAGTTCTTCTCTTGTACACCATGATTAAATTTGACTGGACATCTCTACCCTATAACAGGAAATTTGCCCTAGTCCAGCTGTTTGTGACAGAGGTACATCTGTCTAATTTTGGTTGTTAGTATTAGAAAGTCTACTTCCAAACAAATATAATTCATTTCTCCTAATATCAACATTATTACTACTAATAGTAATGATGATATTTGAGAATCTGCTTTCTTTTTCATCTATCAATTGGTTCATACCACAAATAAAGTTATGCTATTTATTGGCCATATTCAGGGCTTCAAATATTGAGAAATAAATTCAGAGTAAAAAATGAGGGGGGTTAAGATGTACAAAAGAATAGCTCTGGTGCAACCAATGTTCATGACTTATGATTTGGATGGTTTTGACTGTGATGGTTGGTAATAAATGATGCCATATGTCAGCAAATTTTTCCTATAAGAGGCCAAACAGTAAATATTTTTGCCTTTGTAGGGTCATAGAGTGTCTGTTACAACCACTCAACTCTGTCACTATAGTGCAAAAGTAGCCATAGACAGTACATTAAAAGAAATTTACAAAAATAGGCAATGGACCAGATTGGCCCACAAATTTAGTTTTTGGATCCCTGAGCTATATTGTGCTATGTGGCTGGTATTTTAAATTTGTTCTTTGCTTAATGCACTTATTTAGGTATTTCCTTCATTATTTTTTAATAACAATAATAGTTAACATTTCATGTTAACTCACAATGTTCCAAAAAAGGACTGAGGGCTGAGTGTTTTGGATAATTTAATTCAATACTCAGAACAACCCTATAAACTGAGATTCTGAGGAATTCAGTAAATTGTCCAAGGTGACCAATTGTATTTGTCTGTTTTCACACTGCTGATAAAGACATACTGGAGACCAGGCAATTTACCAGGGAAAGAGGTTTAATTGGACTTACAGTTCCACATGGCTGGGGAGGCCTCATAAACATGGTGGAAGGCAAGGAGGAGCAAGTCACATCTTATGTGGATGGTGGCAGGCAAAAAAAAAGAGCTTGTGCATGCAAACCCTGTTTTTAAAAACCATCAGATCTCCTGAGACACACTCACTATCATGAGAACAGCATGGGAAAGACCCGCCCCCACGATTCAATCATCTCCCACTGGGCCCCCTCCCACAACACATGGGAATTACAGGAGCTACAAGATGAGATTTGGGTGGGGACACAGAGCCAAACCATATCACTATTGGAATCAATGTGAGGTGAGGAGAAGATTTCTTTTTCTTCTTCTTTGCTTGTTTTTTTTTTTTCACCCAGGCTGGTGTTATCATAGCTCACTGCAGCCTCTGAATTCCTTGGTTCAAGGGATCCTCCCACCTCAGCATCTGAAGTAGCTGAGACTACAGGCAAATGCCACTGTGCGTGACTATTTTTTTTCAAATTAATTTTTCTTTTTTAGAGAAATAAAGATCTTGCTTTGTTGCCCAGGCTGGTCGTGAACTCCTGGCTTCAAGGCATCCTTCCACCCTTGCCTCCCAAAGTGTTGAGAATATGAGCGTGAGCCACCATGCCCAGCCAGGATAGTATTTCATGTCCATGTGACTTTCAAGTGTGAGTGCTTAACGCTGTGTAGTTCATCACTTTTTGGAATGTAGCATTTTAATTAATGACAAATAAAAAGTAGAGGTAAATTTGTCTCAGATGGTAGGATAAATAAATTCTAGCTACATTTTTCTTAAACAATCAGAATTTTCTTGAAAAGAAAGCCAGAGGCCTGGCACAGTAGCTTATGCCTTTAATCCCTACACTTTGGGAGGCCATGGCCAGGGATCACTTGAGCTCACAAGTTCAAGACCAGCCTGGACAATGTGATGAAACCCCATTTCTATAACATATACAAAAAATATATATTAGCTGGGTGTGGTGGTGCATGCCTGTAGTCCCAGCTACTCAGGAGGCTGAGGTGGGAGAATGACTTGAACCCAGGAGGTGAAGGTTGCAGTGAGCCGAGATCACACCACTGCAATCCTGTACACGAGCTTGGGCGATAGAGCCAGATCTTGTCAAAAAAAAAAGGCAGAAATGTTTACAAAGTGGGTATGTGTGAGACAAGAAATATGCATCAGAATAAATAAGCAGCACAATAGTGGGCACCTTGAAAGCAAGAGTGTTACAGCTTAGCAGCCTGGTAACAAAAGAAAAATTTGTTGGTTTGATTCAGTGCTTATTTAGTGCATCCACAGGAAGGCCAGATAGTCTGCCTGCAGTTAAACAAACCAGCGAGAATTTTATTCGCATTCCATTCTATTCTAAGCATGGAGATCTAACTAGGTTCACATCTGTGTACAGGTGGCCTGAGCCAGAGTGAAATGTCCTTATATGGATATCTGCACTTCTACCTTTAGCAATTCATTTCTTTTGGGAAAGCATCATCTTTTCTTTGTAGTCCTCTTTTAAATTGCAAATAATCTATGCAAAAGAACACTTTGTTTTTCTAATAGAGTCTTAGGGGAAATAAATTTAATATTTCACTTTTTTCCTCCACTTTTTCCCCCTTCACTTTGTGAAATTCCTGTGACTACTTAATCTTGGTTTCCATTACATATCTATTTCCAAAGTCAATTCTTAACTCTTTAAGTTTCTCAAAGTGAACAATATATGCCTAAGGTAATTTTTATAATAATAATTTGGAAAGCCATACTAAACCTAGATGCAAGTTCACTTAATGATGAGTGGTAAACATGATGCAATAGTGTCATACTCATACATTTTTTTCTGCGTTAGTAAACATTATAAAAAATGGTTTAAAAAATGAGTTTTTAAAACAATTTGAATTAAAATTGTAAAAAGTTTTACTTAATCAGGCCCTTTTTTAAAGTAAGAAAGTTAAATTATTGATTTAATCTTTTAATGAATTATCTAAATATGTTGGGTTGGGAAGAACCCACATTTGTTTTCCAGATACTATTCATCCTTAAATGTAAATGTCTTCAAGAAGTAAAAACATTATACCTGATATTTAATGAGTTTTTTCGTAAGTCCTCAAAGCATCTCTTGGTAGAACTACTTGACATCCTACCAAAAAATATCATCAGTCTTTTCCTTCTTAGCTTTTTAAAAAATTATTTCTCTCTTGGTCAGAATGTTATAGTTTTTGGCCTATGTAAAACTTTCCATGAGAAGGGTGATTCTCATAGCCAGTGTTTTTTTTTTTAGTGTGGATTACTCACACCGCTGGCCTTATCTATACACATGCAACCTTATCTATACATGTGCAAGGCTTATTGATACATGTGCTACCTTGTTTACTTACTGCCCTTTCTTCCTGTCTCCCCATTGCACACCTTTGGATTTTTATGCCTTTATTCATCTGTCGGATTTCAAGCAATGGAAAGATAAAAAGTCAAATCAGTTTATTTTACTATTTCTTTACATATTTTTTTAAAGTTGATGAAAGATTTAAGATATTAATTGAGAAGAGTCATACAACAATTGTTATTAATTATGTTCAATCAGTTCTTAATTATTTATGTCAACACCTTGCCTTTGTGAATATGTGAGGGATAGTAGAACAAGACACATTCAAGTTTTGACATTACCCTGTGAGACAAGGTATGGTTCTAATGAAGGTGATAAATGAATTAAGCAAATACCACCTGGGATGTAGAAAGGTATTTGTGCAGTGTTAGAATCCACACTTGCTTCTTCTGGCAAAAGCAGCCACTAATTGTTTGCTGTAGTAGAACCAATTTTCACTGAAAATAATTTTTATTTGAATTTTGCACATGGATTAATCAACAGCAGATTTGAAAAAGTGCTGCCTTAAGACCAGTCTCAAAGTTTGCTTAATATTTACTTGATCTAAACTCAACCCAAAATAAATCCTAAAACACTCAGACAAATAGAAAATATACAATGTACATGTGTATTATTTTTCCATTTTTACCATTTTTTAAGTGGGTCGTTTTTGATTATTCTGCCTATTTTTTATGTTCTACTTTCTCAGCCACTTTTTTTTAACTCATTCCTCCCTTCTTTTCACAGGTATAAAAACACCCAAAAGATGTCTCTGAAATACATTGCCAAAGAAAGAGCTTCAAATAGAGTCACTGTGCCTAACTCCCATCTCTGGGCATTTTACTCTTCATCGAGGGGAGTGGTACCAATGTTTTGCTGTTGTTGTAATGGCTGCTGCTGTTTCTTTAGTTCTTATTCTTCTCAGTTTATTTACTGTCTATAGTTTTTACAAAAAACAAACTCAAAATAAATCTGAGGAAGGCTTATTATAAGGTTTTAATGCAGACAGAGATAGACTCAACTGTAATACACTAGGCATTTTGGCATATAAATCCTTATATCTGAGCTTAATCATATCTATACTTAAGGTAGTCCTTTGTCTTCAATTTAATTTTTCCAAATTGGAAGTCTGCATATCATATCTTTATTAAATCTATGAATCCTTGGCTATCTAATATGTATCAGCAAGTTTTCTTTAAATTAAGCTGGCCTTCTCTCAAGAACCTAAACCTCTATAAATACTGTAAAATAAATTTTAATCAGTCGTCTGTGAGAGGGGATTCTGAACTAATTTTTGTACTTTCAAACCATTATCAGTACCATTCTACTGGAAACAAAATAATTTTTCTTTTAATTGAATCAATCGTGTTTCAGAAATTAAATAACTGAAAACTATTCTAGGCAGAAATTCCTTTGTTTTACAAATCTGTGAGGTTTATGTGTTTCTTCTCAGTGGTTTTTAAGTTCTTGGGATCATGTTGGAGACATTTCTGCTTACTATCCTAGGACTGATGTATGCGATTTGATACAGTTTACAATTGGCATAATGTTTAAATGTCTATAAATATTAGCATGATCAAAATACTGGAAAAAAATCATTGTTGAATGATGATGGGGATCCATAAAGTTTTAATATTTAAAAAGCTATTTATTCTTTTTAGATGAATACTCTTGGGTTTTATTCAGCCTATTTTAAATCAAGACCCAAAGATGAGGCCATCTCTGTGGGATTTTATCTGCCATAACACAGCTTACCTTATGGCTGCTTTTACATGACATGACATGTTTCATACAGTGGTGAACTCAATACATTATGAAACAAAGGCCCTGGTAATGAGGATTTAATTATGACACAATCTGGAAATCATGCAGGAGTAACTAATTTGTGTGTTGATTTCACAGTTCCCATATCCTAGGGGTATCTCAGAGAGCACTATTTTAAAATCTCATAGTCCAGATGGCTATTGATAAAACATAAGTAAAAATATGAAACTCAGTATAAAAATGTGAGTTACTTGCTCTTAGCAATTAGTTATTGAGACAACCTCTTATGTTTAGATTATGTTAACTGCAGAGTTCTAGGAATTCCAAAAGGCAATTTCATAAGAAACTTTAAAAACAGGTATGGCATATCTGGGAATAAGAGTATTGCATCCAAACCTTTGTAGTCTAAATGAAAAATAACAAGATGAATTTTTTTTGTGGAGTCAGCCTTACTGCTTTAGTCAGATTTCATATTCTAAAATTATTTTAGCCAAATGAAACTAAATAATACTGCCTTTTAAATAGGTGGATAATTTGATGAATTCTTTGAAAAGAATTGTCCAAATAATATATTAAGTGTCTTTCCAATTGCTTATTTATGTCTACCTGTAGTAATCTCTTATACTGACATGGATTTCTTTATTGATAGGCTGTATGTATGTGGCTTTGGCTCCTACATAAATATCACCCCACTTCCTTTAAGAATAATTAATAAGTGAAAAGCTTGCTTCACTCTCTTGCTGAGCCCAGCTTAATGAATATCGGTAAAATAATTGCATGACAACATTAATGATGAAAATGCTCATAATCTGAGCCCAGGCAACAGCTTAGTTGGGTTAGAACCTGTAAAATCCATAGAAAATGTTTTGTGATAAATTAGGAAGACAAATGCATGATGAGGAAAAAAGTAAAACACCCCTACTGAATCTGAATTTGGCTATATTTCCTAAGTTTGTAATGATTTTAAAAATCCATCATCCATTCACATGTACTCACCACCTACTATGGGTCAGATATGGCAGCCTCTGCATATACAGAAGTGAAAAAGACTTGGGTCTTTTATCTGAAGATGTTCTCAATTTGGGGGGATATGAAGATTTTTGCCTCCAGAATATTTATCCCTTAATAATAATAACAACAGTAATAGTAGCAGCAGAAGCAGCAATACTTTCTTTTCCAGTTCATTTCTCACTCCCATGATAAAAGTATTTTTGTCGTGTGTGTGTGTGTGTGTGTGTAGAATCCAAAGAGCTGGACCTGAATCGGAATTTTCAAGAACTGGCTTCTGATGCTCGCTTTGTGGGGAAAAAACAGCAGATGCTGGAGAATCCTGAGCAAATGATTTGAACTCTATGTTTCTGTTTTTCACTTAATGAGAATTTCTTTAGTAATAATTCCCAAAGCTCTCATCCTCTAGGTTTATTTGTCTGCTATCCTCTGTCGATGAATTAAGATCAGTCTCCAACAGATCTTTATTGCAGACATTCAAAGAGAGGGAAGACTTCTGTGGACTAAGTTGGAAAACTACTCTGGGAGCAGCCGATGAGTTTCATCACTTTGCTTCAGTATAAATTAAAACAGATTGTATTCTCTTCACACCCCCATCACTGCAAACAGAAAATAAAATTACTCAGCAATTCTAGTCACGTCTTTCTTTCAAGATATTCCTTGAAAGTCCCAGCATAATTGTAAATGAAATTCATAAAGAGGGAAAAACACACTTATTAGGCGGGTGTACATCAGCATGTGGGCAGGATTTAGCTGAGCCCCTTTTTCCTATTGAAGAACTGATCAGACGACTTGACAGCTGGAGTTTACATGATTGTTGTACAATAAAACAGGACCACAGCTACCTTTTGCTGTGCTCCAAATGCCAAGTGTAATTTTGAATACTTCTTCTCCTTTATAAAAATATGTTCTCTTTATAAAAAGAGAGGATAGATACACCTTAGAAGTGACGCTGTTCCTACAGAATCCAAGGTGCATAAAAAATTAAAAAGAAATTAAACCTGTACCATATAATTAAAAAAGAATGGAAAAACCTATTGAAGTTTAATGGCTGGGTTATAAGAGAAGCCACACACAACATAGTTGGCCCTCTGAGATCTGAGGTAAATGGATTACAGGATGTGGACTTGGAGCTCAGCTGTGAACACTGTGATATTTTGAGAAAAAAGAATCGAATGTTCATCGCTTTGTTGAAACTCTCAAAAATCCTAACAAATCCGACCATTTCAGATGCCAAAGACAGCATTAGAAAGTGCAGAAAACAAAAGAGGTATCATATCCAAATTATATAATATAATTAAATTACAGCCCTTGGTTAGATTTTATTTTACCCATTTGTGTTAAGCTCTTAATTTTGGATAAATAAAAAGAGAAACCCAAATAAATTTCCCCCATTTTATAGGGCTGTGATTACAGGATTTGAAATTGTGAATAGGATACATGAGTACCTTTACTTCAAAACGAAGTAAAACTTAACATTAAATTTGTGCTTTTCCTGGGCTTTCACATGCTCCCATATGTAGTGAACCTCTTTTTATGTAAGATGTCTTTTTATTAAGCACATAGTAAATAAGTAACCTAATTTTTTTCATCTGCTTTAATGACATGGATGATTTTCACATTAATTCGTTCATTACTTCAATATTTTTGGTAGCATCTACTATATACCAAACAGTGTTTTTTATTGTTAGGAATACCATAGTAAAATAAATATGTAAGCATCCTTTTTACATTCTAGAGGGAGAGATAGAAAACTTTTTAAAAAGAGAGTGGGAAAGATAATAAATAAATAGTATTGAGGGGGGAAAATAAAGCAGAGAAGAAGACATAAAATACCAAGAGTGGGACTTGAAATTTTAGATTTTGTGGCTAGTCACTGAGAAAATGGCTTTTGAGTAAAGATCTAAAGGCATTGGAGCTAGCTAGCCACAGATATTTGTGGAAAGGGCATCCCAGGAAGTGGGACAGCATGTTCCAAGGGCCTGAGGTAGGAATATGCCTGGAACAACAGGAATACTTGTGTGGCTTAGGGTGGACAGAGTAAACTGGAGGAGAGTAAATAATATGGTCAGAAACATAATATAAACCAGACTTTAGAAGGCTTTGTGGTGCATGGAAAAGACTAGCGCTTTTACTTTGGATGAGATGAGAAGTCTACCATATTTGTCAAGCACTGACAACTTTCTCCGTGAGTGGCCAGATATCTAAATTTTGCAGGACAGACAGTTTCTGTCACAACTGCACAACCCTGTAACTGTAGTACAAAAACAGCCAAAGACCCTGGATGAATCAATGAATATGGCCGTATTCCGATAAAACTTGATTTACCAAAATAAATGGTGAAGGGATGATGTCAGCAAGACAGTGGAGTAGGAAGCTACAGGCCCTCCTGACTCACACAAAAACACTGAGTTAATAAATATGGATCGGAATACCTCTGTGGGAACTCTAGGGACCAGTTGAGAAGCTAGAGCAACGAGGCCACTGTAAAATCAAGAAGGTATTCCAGTGAAAGGGATAGAAAAGTTCATGTCACTTGCCATTCCTGTTCATGCTCCTTCCCTTACATGGCACAGTACAAAATAAACTAGAGGAAATACCCTCATACAAGGAGAAGGAAACAAAAGTGTAGACCATGTATCCACCATTCTGCCTTGTCTGGGGGCAGCCTGAGGGACTTGTCTGACTTGTGTTGATGGGACTTGTGTCAGAGTTTGGAAGCCACTGACAACAGAAGTCAGCAGGCAACACACTAGGGTTGTAGTTCCACAGGCACACTTTAGGGTTCAAAAGAGATCAAGCAAGGTTTGAGAGATCTTAAAACTGTCAACTGGGCTGATTGGTGGTCTTTTCCTGCAGGAAGCCAGTACAGAAAGATAGGGAGAGGTGGTTTGTTTCTTCAAACACCCCACTCCAGGCGAAAAATTGCAAAGCATACAAAGAAACAGGCAAATGTGGCCCAGTCAAAGGAACAGAATAAAACTCCAGAAATATTCATAAAGAAACAGAGATTTACGAGCTGCCTGACAAAAAATTTTAAATCACTGTCAAATTGATGTTCAATTAGCTAAAAAAAGAACACAGATAAATATCTAAATGAAATCAGAAAAATGTCTTATGAACAAAATGAAAATATCAACAAAGAGATAGAAACTAGAAAAATGAACTGAACCATAATTCTAGAGCTGAAAAATAAAATAACTGACACAAAAAAATTTATTAGAAGGGTACAACAGCAGATTGGTTAGGCAGAAGAATCAGCAAGCTTAATGATAGGTCATATAAAATCATTGAATTAGAGAGGCAAAAGGATATATGAATGAAAAAAGCCAAAGACAACCAAAGGATCTTATGGGACAGTATACACTTTATGGGAGTCTTGGAAAGGGGAAAAAAAAAGGGACACAGAGCTTATTTGAGGAAATATTGATCCCAGACTTCCCAAATCTGAGGAAAGAAACAAATACACAGGCTGGGCATGGTCACTCATGCCTGTAATCCCAGCACTTTGGGAGGGCAAGGCAGGTGGATCACCTGAAGACAGGAGTTCAAGACCAGCCTGACCAACAAGGTGAAACCCCATCTCTACTAAAAAGACAAAAAAAATTAGCCGGGTGTGGTGGTGGGTGCCTGTAATCCCAGCTACTCGGGAGGCTGAGGCAGGAGAATGGCTTGAACCCGAGAGGCAGAGGTTGCAGTGAGCCGAGAATGTGCCATTGCACTCCAGCCTGGGAGACAAGAGTGAAACTCTGTAAAAAAAAAAAAAGGAAAGAGGGAAGGAAGGAAGGAAGGAAGGAAGGAAGAAAAAGAAAAAAGAAACAAATACACAGATTTAAGAAGCTCAAGAAATTTAAATTTGGATAAATTCAACAAGAACCACACCACAAGACATTATAATCAAAGTGCTTAAACTCGATGAAGAGGCATTCTTGAAAGCATCAAGAAAAAAAGCAATTAATCATATACAATGAACTTCCATGAGATTAGCAGTGGCTTTCTCAGCATAAACTTTGCATGCCAGTGGGAGTGGATAATATATTCAAAGTGTGCGAAGAAAAAAACGTCATTGAAGAATATTTTATTCAGCAAAACTGTCCTTCAAATACAAAGGAGAAATTAAGACTTTCCAAGATAATCAAAAGTGGAGAGAATTTATTATCATTAGACATGCTCTACAAGAAATGCTAAAAAGAGTTCCTCAAATTGAAAGGATAATAAGAAAGCAACACACTCAGAGTCATATGGAAATATTAGCTTCTCCCAAAAAGCACATCTCAATTCAAACTATTCACATTTCAACTGTTCAATAGCCACAACTAACTAGTAAGTACTGTAATAAACAACACACCTCTAGAAGATAGTCTCATTTTTCTCTCTTTTAATTGTCTAGCTTTGAAATATGCATTTATATTTTTAAATGGCATTGTACTAAAAATTATGAAGATTCACAGTAAATCCAGATTGAATCACTGTCACTGAGCCTAAAATAGAAGTGGTGCAGGTGCTTTGACTGATGGGTAGTGGTTTACCAACCCCTTCTATCAGTTATATTTGCAATTCCATTTGACAGATGAAATAACTAAGTCCAAGAATATTTAGAAACATGTCCCAATTTACCTAAGTAGTTACAAACACTGCTGGGCCTCAAATTCAGGTCAATATGATTGCAAATTCTTTCAACTATATTATGTTGTCTTCATGATGACTTTTTTGTTTTTGTAGACCAGTGGTTCTCCAAATGTGGTCTGCAGAGCCCTTTACAGTGGTTCCATCGGGTCAAAATTATCTTTACAATAATATAAAATTTTAATTTGTATTTTTCACTGTGCTGACATTTGTAATGATGATAAAAAAGCAATGTGGGAAAAGGGAGGTATGATCCTAAGCAAGAATTGGGGCAGCAGCACCAAACAATCCTAGTACTCATTGCATTTTCACTATCATATACTCACAGGGGGTAAAAAGCCTGGTTCATTTACAAACATCTTTGACAAACCAGCGAAAATTATAAATTTTATTGAAATCTCAACCCTTGGCTGTACATCTTTGTACTATTCTGTTTGACCAAATGGAAATTACCCATAAAACACATATGCTGCCCTAGCAGAATGATGGTTTTCTTCAGGAAAAGCATCTGAGTGACTGAGTTGTCAGCTGAACTAACCAGTTTATTTTTAACATAGAACAGTATTTTACTCTAGAAACTGACTTGATAGGTAAACTATGGTTATTCTATTAGAGTATTTCCTGGCCATCTGGGGGGGCATTAAAAAAATAAGCCTGTTACTTAAGAAAAACAACTGACAGTATTTGTGTCCAATCACAAACTTAAAGATTCCAAGTGAAAATTAAAATTAAAATTAAAATTTTGGAAAAATTGTATCTGCCACTGCTTCCCAATACTATTTTGGTGAGATCAGTGGCAATATTAACAACTGTAATTTTTAAATATTAAATAGTGAAATATGTCAACATTTGGAAGATCTGTATAACTTAGCAAAGCAACATTTTCCAAATTGCAAAAGAATGATGTTACGGAATTATTTGTAAGTTAACAGATGTCTTCAAAGCGTGAGATAGACCATTGCAGTTTAATATGGGAGAGAAAAAGCTAATTGAAAGGGTTCCAGACCCACTTTTCAATTAACATTAAAAAAACTACCATTTGTCAAGTCTTAGAGCAATTTCAAAGAAGAATTTTCATACAGAATTTTTAATAGGCAATTAAGATGTTCTTCCCTGTTAAAATTACATATATACATATATGTGTGAAGTTGGGTTTTCTTCCTATGTTTGAAACAAAAGGACATTTGACAACAGATCGAATACAGAAACAGAGATGAGAACCTAGGTGTCTTCATTAAGCAAGGCATTAAGAGATTTGTAAAGATGTAAAGCAGTATCACACATCTTACTAGTTTTTGGTTTTGAAGAATCTAGCTATTTTTAATAACATTTATGTTAATGTAGAATGCATTTATTGTTCTTATTCTTAAATGCATTAATGCAATTTTTTAAAATTCTCCACTTTAATTTCTAATATTTAAATATTGCTTGACATGACCTGCATAAACTCAAGCTCGTGGTCCTTAATAATTCTTGGGAATGTTAAGGGAACCTGAGACCAAAAAGTTCTAAAATTACTGTTGTAGTTAGAGCGTGTGCATGTGGGTGGTATGCACAGTAAACTCTCAACTAGAAGGAAATAGTGAGGGTTGTCAGTTAACTGGCCTGTGTTTTCTTTGATCAAATTTAGAAGGAAAATGGAGATAATGAAACAAATAAGCTAATGTCAAAAGTCTTCTCATTATAAAATCAGTGCAAATGACTACTTGTGTGAATGTGTGTGATCAACAGATACGAAATAGGATAGTAAAACTTATCCTTCCTACTTATAGGGGTTGTTACAAGAATAAATAATGATATGGAAAAAGTCAGATTTAGATATGAAATCTTTTCTTGTGTATAAAATATAATGAAAATTTAAGTAGGTATGTATTCTCAGGCATTTCACAAATCGTATTTAACAGAAAGATTTAATTACTTAACATTACTTAACTCAACATACTCTTATCAAGCACCTGGTGTTTGCCAGTACGGTACTGAACTCCATATATGCAAAGACGATTAAGACATTGCACTATATATTCATTAGTGTTTGAGAAAGATTTATCCACCATGAAACAAGCAAAACAGTTTTATGTTTAGCTCTCAGTTTATTAGGCCATTTTATTTTCTAAGCATTTAGGTAAACATTTTCTATAACATACATTGAGGAGTCATCTTTAGTTCCTTTGAATATATTCTTAAAATCTCAAACCATCTGCAGTAGTATATTTAATGTCATAAAACAAATTATATATATTAGCCCCTTTGGTGTCCTAGATTCTTTTGACGTTTCTCTTTTGAAGAGAGAGAGTTTCTAAAAGGGGAACTAACAAATGAAATGACCAGTGCTAAAATGACCACCCCAATAAAGCTACAAAATATCTACCTTTCCACTTAATGGATGTTTGGACCTAGACAGCAGGAGTACTTTTCCCTGTAGATTTATCCATTATGTCTCATGCACTGCTAATTCATTTTCCTGATATACTAGGGCCACCCTTCGTTCTCCCATTGTCCTGTCCAAGAAAGAGCTTGCTTTGAATTATGGGGAGGAAGGGTATCAAAATTTCATATTTAGCCGAAAGATATAGATTTCCTTTTGCATACTCTTATTCTGTGTTGTCTCCCTTCCTCCCTTCCTGAATCCTCAATCTGTACCCAAACCTAAAAGTCATGTTTTGGGTTACGCTTCATTCTGTTTTCAGGAGGACATAGGGTGGCCTTTTTTTTTGTTCTCATTTATCAGCATACATAGAGCCAAGGCTCTGGTAGGTGCAGATGTTATAAAGTGAAACACCTGAGAGTGACATGCGAATTAAGATAGAGCTCTGATTTTTGAAAGATGGTTATGACATCCGAAATTGCATGAGTTTTTAGAACATTCAAAGACTTACTGGAATGTTTGAATTAGCATCTTATCAGTTCAATCAATTGCCCCCAAAAGCAATAAAATGAATCCAAAACTTACAACTACATTGACTATGATAAACTTTTCTGTGTCCTAAGGTATGCAAAACATGGTGCTTTTAGCCTGTCTTTAATTTTATTAGCACCTTTCAAAGTGTTGAAACACTATCCATAATTATTTATTCATTTATTTTAATTATAGTACTTGATTGCACATGAGTATTTTGTAGATGAACATAACTATTACTAAGGAATGGGACAGCATCAATAACTGCTTATTAATAATTATAATGATAATTTAGAAAAGAAAAGCCATAGGCTTGTCTGATGAGTGTTTTCATCTTGACTACAGTTTCTCTTCTTCCTGTGCCTAGAGCTCATTAGGTGGACAAATTTTCCCCATGATTACAACACCCACAAAAGGGCCAAAGCAGAGAGAAAAAAATCCACCTTTGCTCAGTTTCAAATTAATCTGAAACCCTGTAGGCCTCAGTAGGTGCCCAAGGCACATCCCGCACCCATGTTATTTTTAGTTGAATGCTATTCTTCTATTACAGGCAGCAAGATTGAAAACTGTCATGACTCTGAGCAAACCTGGTTATTTCAGAATACAGGCTTTCACAGCATTTCCCTCTAATGGCCCAGATTAGAAAAGAAAGGTTGTTTATACGTTTAAAAGGCCAAGGTCTCCTGAACCATCAAAGCAGTGGCTTGTGGTTTTAGAGCAATGCAACTTCCCGCTGTGTGTAATGGGTGAGCACCTGTAGACGGCGCTTCAGCCGGGCTGCCACTGGGCACCAGTGCTAATTGGCGTCTATGAGGGACACTCGAGCAGCCTATGAGCCTCAGCATTTCATTTCATTTGGAGTGAAATATACTCTAAGTAACAAAGGACACACACACACCTTCAATGACTTCTTTCTGGACATTTTCCTTTTCAGAGGATGGACTCATAGATCAAATGCCATCTTGTCACCTCCCATTTCTATACTGGCTACCCTTTATAATGTTTAAGAAAAAAAAATAAAATAGTTCTTTGTAATTGGAGTTTCACTCTTTGGATGAATTTAGAGGAGAGCAAATATGTTGAATATGTTTTATTAATGTAAGTTTTGCTTGCAGAAACTGTAAAAAAGAGAATGTATATAGGCATGTATATCTAAATGTCTCTGCAGACATTTCGGCAGAGATTTTTATGGCTATATGAATTCTCCTTTTTATGCTTTCTGCAAGAAAACTTTGGGGACTCATTTATGGTTGTCCCCTTAGGCCCCCACCCACTCTGTTTGCTTCTTCAGTGCTTTGTGTACTGGTGGGTAAGTTTAGTTACATGTATGTTTAATTATTGTGCCATTTCTTAAAATAGTCATCTATCAATTATGATCCGATAAAAACTGGGTGACATAAGAGCCCCCTTCTCAATGCATCAAATGTACACATTGTCCTGTTACATCTGTGAGGGACTCATGCCTGCTGAAAGGAGGGAGTATCACAGAACAAAAGGGTGTAATCTTTAATGTGAATCTGAATCAACTCTTAAGCTCAAGGGACTGAACTGAAAAAGCTATAATTGAAAACTACAGCTGGACTATAAATGCAGCCCACTTATGAGATGCACATTAATGGGACTATAAGAATATTAGAACTATTATTTGTACTCATTTATCTCAAATTTGATGCTAATGGATTTTTTTTCTAAGATGCATGACTTTGACTAAGTCATTTACTCTTTCTAGGTCTCAGTAACTTACTATGCAAGGGACTGAATAATTTCTGAAGTCCCTCCCCATTAAAATTATTGTAATGGTTCTATGACATATGCGGTGTCCAAAACACTGCTGTAGCTATTATTAAATTCAAATTTTAATGATAATCTTTGGGACATTGCAACAAAATAATTTAAGAGTCAGTTTCAGTTCTCAACCGTTAAGATAAACCCAGGTATTTCCTTTCTTAGTATCATATACATTTGGCAAGTTTAAGAAGCTGTTGTTCTCCTCATCTTTGATTGCATATATTTCAGGAATCGGACACTTTACATGAAAAGTTTCTTAAATTCGCATATATTTAGAATTAGTCATATAATAGTTTTTAGAAAAATGAAGAATGCCATAAAACTTAGAAATTGTTACTGGGGATTTTCAATCTATCATGATTATAATAAAGTTAGCATAATAATTATAAGAACAATTTTTCATCATGTTTTATCTGAGTTTTCAATTAAGGAATTTTAAAAACTGACCCATTTATTCCCTTCCATGTGTTTTCTTTGGACACTTGTCAGGTTAGGAGTCTTCACCACTGATTGCTGCCTGTGTCCAGTATCACTTGCATTTTCAGTAAGTTTCTTCCCCTGTTTTCTACCTTCTAGAAACAATAAACAAATGATTTTATTTTATTTTATTTTATTTTACTTTTCTAGACAGGATCTCACTCTGTTACCCGGGCTGGAGTACAGGGTCTCAATCGTAGCTCACTGTACCCTCAAACTCCTAGGCTCAAGCGATCCTCTTGCTTCAGTCTCCTGAGTAGCTGGGACATCAGATGTGTACCACCATGCCTGGCTAATTTTTTTTTAAAAATGGGGTCTATGTTTCCCAGGCTGGTCTTGAACTCCTGGCCTCAAGTGATCCTCTTGCCCTCAGCCTCCCAAAATGTGAGGATTACATGTAAATTAATATGCTTTAAATTTTTTAATTGGACTATATAATTACTATGTGTGTGTGCGTGTGCGTGTGCGTGTGTGTGTGTTGGTTAAGGTTAGGTAATAAATAGAAGCTCAAAGAGGTTAATTAACTTCACCCATGGCACAAAACACTGAATTTTGTAATGTGGATTCAAACTCCAGGCTGGGAACTGGCTTGTGGCTTATTTAAGATCCTCTTGGACTCAATTTTAATTCAGATATCAAAAAAAGCAAATATATTGATATCATACCATACTTATTACCTGATAGCCTCATGTGTCTGTGCACACATGTGTCTATCTATAAGGCTATTAAAAAATATGAGAGAGTGACCTGGGTATCAGGGGAGCATTTACAAATGTACATAACTCACTGGAAGAGAGATGTGTGCTCAGAAAAAAAATAATTTATTGTGGACTACACATGGACACAGGTAACCCCATCATTTTTCATGGTTGCATGTCATACTCTTAATTGCCCCAGCTCCTTAGGATGCTTGCCCAGTAAATATGGGATGTCCTGCCACTTCCCCTGTGCAACTGAGTGTTACTCAACTCTCCGTCTATCTCCCTATGTAACCTTCTCTCTCTTAATCCTTTAATTTTTAAAAAGAATTCTCTGCATTACTATTTTCATTTCCTTGCATTCGCACTGACACTAACCACTGCAGTCTGGCTGTAGTCCCTACTCTTGCATTGAAAGTGCTTTCAATAAGATCAAATAGAGGGTCCCATTGTCCTGTAACTCTACCTCTTTTAGCATTTGACGCTCTTGACTTTTCTCCCCATGCTCTGATTTAGACTTTGGTGGCACTGCTGTCCACTTGTTCAGCATGTGCCTTTCTGGGCCCTCCTCCTTATTCTCCTCAATGTATTAATTTCTCAGTAGCTTAAGAGAACAAAGACTGATTTCCGTTATGCTGTATATTTATTGTGTTGTCTCATTTTGGTCTGGTAGCCCCTCAACCAGGGCAGCCTCTCTGAACCGTGCTGGTCACGGTGGCAGAGGAAAAAGTAAACCCAGCAAAGAACAAATCTGGCCCTGAAGCTTCTGCCACCTCATTTCATTGGCCAAAGCTAGTCATATAACCAAGCCTACTCCCCTAGTGCAGGGAAAGACAGGCCTCTTCCTGGGAGTGGGTGGAAAGCGGACATTAGTGATGAATATGATCACCTACATACTCTTCTTTTGTCCACTTGGCAATTGTTGGTGTTTCCTGCCTTGGCTTTCCTCTTTTCTTATGTGTATGTTCCATTTGGTAGAGTTTATCAATAACCAGGATTTGAAACCTCCCGGGAAGCTGAGAATTCCAAAATCTCTACCAATAATCTCCATCTCTCATCTGAATTTTAGTCACTGTCCAAGTGCACCTCCACCTGAGTTTTAGTGATGCAAGGGATCGCTCTATATGTTGGGGCTGTGTGAAGAGTAAGGAAGAGAGCTGAGGCTGGGGTGGGTTGGGCAGGAGGGGAATGTGAGGGTCCTAAGGTAATACCAATAAAGCATCATATGTTTGGCGGGTCTACTTTATAATGGGAAGGTTTATTATAATATTTTTGTTTATCTGTAAAAGAGTAGTAACAATACTGGCTACCTTATAGGGTGGTTCTGAGGATTAAATGAGTTTATATATGTAAAACGCTAGAACGATGCCTGTCTTATCATGTTTGTTATTACCCTTATACAGGCAATCCCAACCTCTAAGCCATAACAATCATGATTCTGTATATTCTTTACCACACTTATTAAGATAAATATATAATAAATTGTTTTTATTATGGGGTAAATTTATGATTCTAAGGTAAGGATATTAATTGACTAAATGAAACCATTAATCATTTTGTTCCTCATAGTTTTAGCATTGGAAGGAAGCTTGGGCATTTTCTAGACTTATCCTCTACTTCTACAGATGAGAAAAATAAGGTCATGGAGAGTGCAGACTTGCAAAGTCCACGGCTAGCTGGTGGGTGGCCCCATCTCAGCACTCAGCTTTTCTAAGCTCCACTCAAATATTCTCTATAACATCATATTGCCATTTCTATATGAGCCATAAAAAGTTATAGACACAGAGGCAGACCACTGTCATCCAATCATAGCATGGGTTTTCTTCTGATAATATTCCATTGCTAGAATTTGACACGTCTCATTATCAGTGCCACCCAGAAAGGAGCCATGTGCTGGAGAGTTGGCACTGTATCGAGAGAGGCCAAGATCTTGTGGCAGGATTTGGTCTATTGGTTTTATTTGGAAAGTTGCACATAGCTTCTCTACCCCACAAATTAAAAGTAGAGTTACTATAATTTAGTTTCTAAGTATGCCACGTAAATTCAAATTATATTGTGTTACTGTTACTGTAGCTATCTTTAAAAACTATTTTTTAAACCAATATCAATATATGGGAAAACTCAGAAATGGTCATATGCAGCCACAATTTCTGTTTGTCATAAACAGAGAAGAATGCCTTGAATGTAATACGTTGTTTGGGCAGATCTGTTTTGGTCTGCTGTGATTGACCATCAATTATAACCATGACTGTTATGCAGAGTGTATAATTTAAGAGCGGTGGTTTGTGAAGGATGAGCAAATGCCAAGTTTGAGAAGGAAGTTTGAGTTATTCTGTTAACCAAATATATCTTAAAATACTTTTAATTTTTCAAGAATCTTCTAATCTCTGCATATTTGGCTTTGCGATGTTACAAAATCAAAATAATGTATTCCTCTTACAATATACAATTCATGGGGAGGGAAAAGGAATACTTAATTCAGGAATTCTGTAATGAGAAGGCTTCAGAGAAATGTACTAGGACCTAAGACCAAGAATTCAGATCCAATAAGTTGTCTTATTGAAGACCAAAATAGAAACTGTGAGAATGTGGTGGGAAAAGTTTTTGAGATGTTAACATTTACTTTCTTTTCATTCCCATAGGATTAAGAATAAAAGCTATTTGTACTTTTTTCTATATTTTGATTTCTCCACTTCAAGAAAAGAAGACACAAACAAATGGAAGAACATTCCATGCTCATGGATAGAAAGAATCAATATCGTGAAAATGGCCATACTGCCCAAGGTAATTTATAAATTTAATGCCATCCCCATCAAGCTACCAATGACTTTCTTCACAGAATTAGAAAAAACTACTTCAAAGTTCATATGGAACCAAAAAAGAGCCCGCACTGCCAAGACAATCCTAAGCCAAAAGAACAAAGCTGGAGGCATCACGCTACCTGACTTCAAAGTACACTACAAGTCTACAGTAACCAAAACAGCATGGTACTGGTACCAAAACAGAGATATAGACCAATGGAACAGAACAGAGCCCTCAGAAATAATACCACACTTCTACTACCATCTGATCTTTGACAAATGTGACAAAAACAGAGCATACTTTTGAAATTCATCCACGCCATTGCATTTATCTGTAGTTCTGCACAGGACTGCGAAGGGTTTGAAATTTTACCCTGCTCACATGCTGACAAGTGAGCCTGCCACTGTTTCATGGATTCTGGCAGGAGACACTAGATCATTGGGTCAGAGATGAGGGACTTTGTTGCTCATAACCCAGCAGGAAGCGTGTGTTTCATCATGTTCCCTTTGTCCTGCAAGTCCCCAAGTAGCCCTGAAATGTGGCACACTCATAGGGTCCGTGTCATAACTAAGGAAGCCTGGGCTTATCATTCCACCAGGCTGAGAAGGGGCTGCCATTGAACCTACCTAGTGTTAACCCTAGAGGAAGACATTTAGTCAGAAAACAGAGTGCCACAGTACAGTCACTCTGTCTGTCCTCACAGGCTGTTTTTCATACAAACATCCAAGAAAAGATAGTCCCAGAGAAAAGCTGTCATAAGACATGTAGAAACCCCATGGAGAATTGTCTTCAAACAAATGGATTCCTTTTCCTTGTTGCATAGTATTCTGTTTTATGGATACACTGCCACAATGCATTTATCCATTCACCAGTCCATGGGTATTTTGGTTGTTGCCAGGATTGGGCTAATAAAGCTACATTAAACATAAATGAGTATTTCTTTGTGCGAACATAGTTGGTAAACATCTAGGTGTGGGATTGCTGGGCCACAGAATAAGTATATGTTTAATTTTTTAAGAAACTGCCAAAATATTTTGCCTATTGGCTACCACTTTGCACTTCCAACAGCACAGTATGAGTGTCGCAGCTGCTCCACATCTATGTCCAATACTTAAGGCCACTCTAGCATGTAGAAAGTGGTTAACTCCTTGTGGGCTTAATTTACATTTTTTAAGGAATGATGATGTTGAACATCTTTTTTATGTTCTTACTTGACATGTTGTACCTTCTTTTTTTAGGTTTCTGTTCAAATTTAAAAAAAAAAAAAAAAACTGGTTAATTTTCCTTTTTTTCTTTTCTTTTTCTTTTTTTCTTTTTTTTTTTTTTTTGAGAATAGATCTTGCTCTGTCACCTAAGTTGGAGTGCAGTGGCACCATCATAACTCATTGCTGCCTCAAATTCTTGGGCTCAAGCGATCCTCCTGCTTCATCCTCCTGAGTAGCTGGGACTACAGGTGCACATCATCATGCCTAATTTTTTGGGTTTTTTTGGTAGAGATGGGTGTCTCACCATGTTGCCCAGGATTGTCTTGATTACCTGGGCTCAAGCAATCTTCCCATCTTGGCCTCCCAATTACTTGTCTTCTTAATATTGAATTGTAAGTTTTGACAAAACTCTCTCCTTGACCAAACTTTCGACAGCCTCCCCTGAACTCTCTTTTCCTCTTAGCCGCTTCCTCGGCCCCTGTTTTCGGCCTGCCCAGTTTAGCTGTATCCCAATTTAGCCCAGGTTTTGGCCTGCCCAGTTTACCAGGAATCCTGCTGAGTCAGTTTAGAGAGAATCCTCCACCCGTGATACCTGATCACATGTCTCATTCCAGATCCTTAATGTATGAGCCCTTAGCCTGCCTTTAGCTAGAAACCCCCTACCTGTGATTATGCTGCCTCCTCCTAATCTTTGTTCATCCACTGAGCCCTCACTCTGCCCATTGGCTGTAATATCTGCTATCTTGTTTATATTCAGAGTTGAGCCTGATCTCTCTCCCCATTATGATAATTCTGACACTTATTACAATCATCCTAAATAAAGTCCTTCTCACTGTTTTAGCATGTGTCAGAGTCATTTTTCCATTAACAGTGTTCTTATACAGTCTGGATACAAGTCCATTCTCAGGTGCATATTTTTGCAAATATTTTCTCCACATCTGTGCCTTGCATTTTCCATTTTCTTAGCATTGTCTTCTACAGTGCAAAGGTTTTAATTTTGTTAAAGTCCAATTTATGAATGTTTTAATATAAGTACTGCTTTTTTAGTTTATTTTTTTTGAGACAGAGTCTTGCTCTGTCGCCCCAACTGGAGGGCAGTGGTGCAATCTAGGCTCACTGCAACCTCTGGCTTCCCAGTTCAAGAGATTCTTCTGCCTCGGCTTCCTGAGTAGCTGGGATTACAGGTGCCTGGCACTACATCTGGCTAATTTTTTTGTATTTTTAGTATAGACGGGGTTTCACCATGTTGGCCAAGCTGGTCTCGAACTCCTGACCTCAGGTGATCCGCCCGCCTCGGCCTCCTAAAATGCTGGGATTACAGGCATGAACCACCATGTCTGGCCAGCAATAGCTTTTTGTGTCCTATGAGAAATCATTATCTAGCTCAAGATCCCCAACATTTTCTCATGTTTTCTTATAGAAGTCTCATAGTTTTAGCCCTTACATTTAGGTATATGATTAATCACAATAGCATGACTTATGATTTATTTATTGATGTTTTTAGTTTTTCTGGCAAAAAGTAATATTTGAGATTTTTTCTTTCCTTTTCCTTTTTTTGTGCATATAGATATTCAGTTGTTCCAGTATTATTTACTAAAATACTTCTCTTTCTCTGTTGAAGAACTTTAAAGTCTATGTCAAATCATGAAAACAGACACATAGACCAATGGAACAGAATGGAGAGTACAGAAATAAAGCCAAACACCTAGAAGCATCTGATCTTGACAAAGTCAACACAAACAAGCAACGGGGAAAGGACTCCCTACTCAATAAATTGTGTTGGGATAACTGGCTAGCCATATGCAAAAGATTAAAACTGAACCCCTTCCTTATACCATAAACAAAAATCAACTCAAGATGGATTAAAAACTTAAGTGTAAAATCTAAAGCTATAAAAACCCTGGAGGACAACCTAGAAAACTCTATTCTGGACATGGGTCCTGGCAAATATTTCATGACAAAGATGCCAAAAGTAATTGCAACAAAAACAAAAACTGACAAGTGGGACCCAGTTAAACTAAAAAGCTTCTGCGCAGCAAAAGAAACTCAACAGACTAAATAGACAACCTACAAAATGGGAGAAAATATTTGCAAACTCTACACCTGATAAAGATCTAATATCCTGAATTTAAAAGGAACTTAAACAAATTAACAAGCAAAAAACAACCCCATTAAAAAGTGGCCAAAGACATGAACAGACACTTTTCAAAAGAATACATACAGGTGGCCAACAAGCATATGACAAAAAGTTCAACATCACTAATCATTAGATAAATGCCAATCAAATCGATAATGAAGTACCATTTCACACCAATCAGAATGACTATTATTAAAAAGTCAAAAAATAACAGATACTAGCAAGGTTATGGAGAAAAGGGACTGCTTATGCACTGCTGGTGGGAATGTAAATTAGTTCAACCACTATGAAAAGCAATGTGGTAATTTCTCAAAGAACTTCAAACATTATTACCATTTAACCCAGCGATCCCATTGTTGGGTATATGCCCAAAGGAGTATAAATAATTCTACCATAAAAACACATGCACATGTATGTTCATTGTAGCACTATTCATTCCCAGTAGCAAAGCCATGGAATCAACCGAAATGCCCATCAATGGTTGACTGGATAAAGAAAATGTGGTACATATACACCATGGAATACTACACAGCCATAAAAAATGAGATCATGTCCTTTATAGCAACATGGATGCAGCTGGAGGCCATTATCCTTAGCAAACCAACACCAGAACAGAAAACCAAATACCACGTATTCTCATTTCTAAGTGGGAGTTAAACGTTGAGTACAAATGGATACATGTGTACTTGAGGATGGAGTGTAGCATAGTACCTGATAGGTACAGATTATTACCTGGGTGATAATCTGTACACTATAATCTGTACACTAAACCCCTGTGACACACAATTTATTCATGTAACAAACCTGGGCATAACCCCTGAACATAAAACAAAAGATTTTAAAAAATCAATTAACTATGTAAGTGCAGGTCTGTTTCTTGAGTCTGTTTTGCTGCATTAGTCTATTTGTTTATTCTTACATCAGTACCACACTGTATTGATTTTTGTTGCATTCTAGTAAGTCTTGAAAGTAGGTACTGGAAGTTTTCCAGCTTTGTTCTTTCTCAATTTTTTTCCAGGTACTCTAACTTCTATTGGTTTCCATAAAAATTTAAAATAAGCTTGTCATATTTTCTGATGATATTATGATTGTGGTTGTGTTAAATCAATAGATCAATTTTAGGGAGATGACATCTTAGCAATGTTTAATATCCAGTTTAATTAACATGTTATATCCCTCAACTTAATTAGGCCTTCTTTAATTCCTCTCAGGAATGTTTTGTAGTTTTCAGTATATAAGTAAGTCTTACGTAAATTTTGTTAGATTTAAATTTAAGAATTTTATTTTTGTGTTGTTATAAATAGTATCATTTACTGAACTTCAGTTTTTTTCCCCTAATGTATGAAAATTAATTGATTTTTGAATCCAGTGACCTTGCTAAGCTCACCTATTAGTCTTAATAGTTGATTTGAAAATTCCTTGTGTATTCTAGGTAGACACTAACATTGTTTCCAAATACAGAAGTTTTACTTCTTCCTTTACCATCTGTATCCTTTGGTTTCTGTTCATTGCTTTGTTTGGCTGTCTGAGCCCTCTAGCACAGTTGTGAAAAGAGAAGATAGGGGTGAACACCATTACTTTGCTCTCCATCCTAGAGAAAGAAGCACCCAATATTTCACTATTAAGTATGATATTAGCTACAGATTTTATATAAAGACTGCTTTACTAATTTTAGTGAAGTTCTCTTCTATTCATATTTTGCTAAGAATTATGAGTAAGTGTTGGAATTTTCTTCAATGCTTTTATGCACTTAATGAGATTATCATACAGTATTTCTTTGTATTCTATAGTAAATTGTTTTATTGTTGAATATTAAACTAACCTTAAATTCCTGGTACAAAGCTACCTTAGACATGCTCTACTATTTATTTTATACATTGCTGCATTTGATTTGTTAATATTTTGTTACACATTTTTGTACCCTATGTGTTGAAGGTTATTGGTCTGCACTTTTCTTTTCCTGTTATGTCTTTTTTTCTGGTTTCCCTAGTAGGGTAAGTCTAGCTACATTAAACAAATTGGGAGGTGTTCCCTCCAAATGTGTTTTCTGAAGGAGTGTCTATAAACCTCATATACCTTTTTCTTTTTTGTTTTTTTTTTGAGACGGAGTCTTGCTCTGTCGCCCAGTCTGGAGCGCAGTGGCGCAATTTCGCTCACTGCTGCAACCTCCGCCTCCCGGGTTCAAGCAATTCTCCTGCCTCAGCCTCCCCAGCAGCTGGGACTACAGGCACATGCCACCATGCCTGGCTAATTTTTTGTATTTTTAGTTGAGACGGGGTTTCACTGTGCTAGCCAGGGTGGTCTCAATCTCCTGACCTCGATCCACCCACCTTGGCCTCCCAAAGTGCTGGGATTACAGGCGTGAGCCACCATGCCAGGCCAACTTTTTCTTAAATATTTTATAGAGTTCACCAGTTAAGCTACTTGAACTTGGAATTTTCTTTGTGGAATATTTTTAAACTATGAGGGTAATTGCTTTAACAGTTACAGTGCTCTAGTCCTACAGATTTTGTGTGTGTATTCGTTTACTCGTCCTATCAGTTACCGAAGGAAGAATATTGAAAACTCTATTATGTTTACAGTGTAAATTCTACTGAATTTTGAATTTTTATCCCTGAAAGTTCTATTTGAATTATTTTTTTTCTCATTCTGTTCATATTTTACTTTACATTCTTGAGTGTATTTATGTTTTTAGTAGCTGTTTCAGATCTTTGTCTTATAATTTCATTGTCTCTGCCCTTCGTGTCTGTTTCTGCTGATTGCTTTTTCTCCTGTTAGAAGTCCTATGTTTCAGTTTGTATGCCTTCTAAGTTCCTACTGATTACCATACATAGTACATTGTATTGTAGAGTGCTGGATTTTGTTTCATTTTTTTAAGAAGCGATACATTTTGCACTGGCATGCACTTATTTGCAGATTAATTGGACCCTGTCAAGGCTTACTTTTTAGTTTGGGATTTGCAGGTGCATAGCAGTCTCTGCCCTTGAGCTAGCTTTGTTCACTACAGTGGCTACACCCTTTCCAGGACTCTGCCTAATGCCTCCAGTTCTATAAGGCATCACAAATTATTCCTATCCATAGGTTAGGTTTAAGAATTGTTTGGTAGACTGCTATGTGGATGTTCCTTCAGGCTGCCTCAATAGACCTGTGGATATCATTCTCTCTCTCAATCTCTCTCTCTCTCTCTCTCCCTATTCTCTGGTATTCTGTCTCAAAATTTCTAGCCGCATCAGCTTCAGTGAACTGAACTCTGCCTCCTCAACTCAGCAAGACCAACTCTTTCTGGGTTGACTCTCTCTGCCTCCCAGCCTGCAAACTGCCTCCAGGAAATGAGTCTGTCCTTTTGTTTCCTGTCTCTTTTTGTTGCATGATGTTCAATGTCTGACCAGAGGTTATTCACATCCAGTTGAACCTCATTATTTGGGAATTCCACTTTACTACTTGGTAAAATATATTTATAATCTCAAAAGTCAATACTCAGGGAACTTTTGCATCATTTGCAGCCACGCCCAGGGAGCTGAAATGTTTAAATTGCCCAACACACACGTTCCCAGCTGAGGTCCAACAAGGAGCCACTCTGCTTTCTTGTTTCACTCATACCATAAACAGGTGTCCTTCTCACTGTCTGTTGAGTGTCGCTTTTCTTACATTTTGTGCGTGTGTGTGTGTATGTGCGGGAGTTTGGTGTTTTCGTGGTGATATCATTGTTTTAATGGCCCCTGAGCACAGTCCTGAAATGTTGCCTCATGTTCCAAAGCGCAGGAAGGCTGTGACATTCCTCAAGGAGAAAATGTGTCTTAGATGAGCTTCCTTCAGGCAGAGTTATACTGCTGTTTTGAGATCAATGTGAATGGATCCACCATATTTATGAAATAAGGTGTTGTAGACAGAAGCCCACATAAAGTCTCAGGTTGATTAGTTGACAGCAGTGTCACCCAGGCCTCTGGTTCATTTCCTTTTTTATTATAGGATGTAAAGCTTTATTCTAAGTGGCTTAAATCATAAACACATATGCATTAGGAAAATGTATTTCTGAAAAACAAATGTGCTTTTAAAATTCTCAGTCAGATCTCTCTTCGCATCAAAAAAAAAGGGCCACATTGTATAACACTAAGTAACCTGTTTAATATATGCAGTCCCTGTTTCTTGTTTCCAAACTGCCCTAGACATGTGGTTATATTTCTAACTTCTTGACACATCAGTAATCAGGACCTAAACTGGATACCTCCCATACCTTTCATCAAACTAAATAACAGATTCACAATCTCCAGACACCCCTGCATTAACAATTGCCTACATTTCAGTGTGTCTGTTTATGCAACTAGATGTTTATCTAGCTTGTCTTCACGAGAACTGGGTCCTGTCTGTATTAAACATTGGCCTTCCCCTAACATCTAGAAGGGAGCCTCCTTCTCTAATGGGTAGAACCTGTACACCCACAACTCACTCGCACATCCACTGGGCTGCATTCCTAGAAGGACTGTCAAACTGAAGGGTGTGTGTGTGTGTGTGTGTGTGTGTGTGTGTGTGTGTGTGTGTGTGTTTAAATCAGAGATGACCTTATGTGCATACAGAATGTAGGTACAAGAGTGAATTATTTTGTGGGCCTTCAAAAGATCTCCTTCCCACAGAGCATGAAACCCTAAGATTAAATAACTAATTCCTTGGAGTCAGTAAATCTGTTCTTTTTAAAAACCAGGGAACTTTATTGTATATATTCTTTGTAACTTAGCGTTATCCTAGATACGGGATCGTGGTAATCACAGATTCTGATTTTCAAGAAGAGCTCTGTGTTTGCATAGCCTTTCTCTCCCTCTCTCTCTCTCTCTCTCTCTCTCGTGTAGATTATCCACTAGATCACTTGTTCCAGAAAACAAAGTTGTTCTGAGCCCAATACAAACGACCCCAGAGATACAACAGTCATTTCCCCTGTAAGTCTAAACTACCGTCAGATCTGCTGAGAAACTGAAATTTGAAAGTGAAGAGAAATAGCAAGAGAGGGCTGCTGCTTGAGGAAGGAGGTGCTGTGAGAAGTTCTGAGAGAGAGGCAATGGCTACAGGAGACAGGTGGAGTCAGAAGGTGAAATCACAATTTTGGATGGTATTTTAAAGGGCTACAATTGCGTATTTACAACAGCTCAGCCAAGTTGTAATTGTAAAACTATACTGACAGCTCCCAATGTTTGCCACTTCACAATTTGACAATGGAAATTATTTCCATAATCTTACGCTTCTAATTCAACAGTTTTCAGAAGTCCCTGAAATCTGTTGTTGGAAACTTGCCACATATTTTTTTGGCCTTATGCCATGTGATGGTAAATTGTATCAGCCACGAGACTTACACATCCTTCATTAAAAGTATGCAGAGATGATGTGATTCTTTTGGTCATCTCTCCAGTGGTCTGGGAATCCCTGCAGAAAGAAGCAAGGGTACTCAATACAGCTTCCTTTCTGGACACGAGGACAGAAGACATGACAACCACTCTATGGCATTTTGGGGAATACCCTGAATTTAAACATTCTGAAAGAGCATCTCAGATTCTGGGTTTGGATACGTCCTGGAATCAGGCCTTTTTTTCTTGCTTTTCCAATGCTTTGAGAGATAAGCTGTGTAATTGATGAAGACAGTAACTCCTAAGAGAGTTAGTAAATTTGGCTGATAAATAGTTTCGGGCTGGCATATAGGAAACTGCAATATATTGAGAACAGTAACCACTTTTTACTTAGAAAACTTGTATTTGGGCCCAATATTTCAATTGATTAAAAAAATGAACCTAGGGAAGTCCATGGTTTTTCTTGATAAACTGTCACTACCTTTTGAGCTAGTCCAGCTCTTTCCACGCCTCTGTTCCTAACTCACTCACAGTGATGATCTCTCTCCCAGATTAATGTAGTGGGGTCTCTTAATCGATTTCCCACCTCCTATCATCTGACCCATTGATTCTCCAGGCAGAAGTCAAACAATTTCTCTAACATCTGCTTATGTTCATTGTGGGGTTATAATATCTCAAAGTTTCCTTTTTCCTTGGATAAAGTTCAGCCTAGTCATGATCTAATGGCTGAGCAAGTCTTCTGCCACTTGCTTCTTATCAATGTACTCCAGGTACACTGATCTTTGAGCTGCCCAGCCTGTGTACCAGCTGCCTCTAGATGGGTGCTCTTCCTGCTTCCCATGGTCATCGAACTAGTTCTGCTGATCCTTTCCACGCCAGTCTAAGCAGCATAGCCTGGGGGAGTGCTCTGACCTCCCAAATGCCAGTTGTACCTGGGTTTGATGACCTTCTATTTTCACAGCATCCTTATTTCCTCATTTATTTTTCTGTATTCCAATTACCATTTGCCTCTCTGTATCCTATACTTGACTATAAGTTTGATGAAGGAAGCTTTGTACTTGACCATGAATCTGGGCAGGTAGCACAGCTGGGCAATCAGAGATTTCCTACATAATTATTGATTTAGAGTCTGGAACCCTGTTCATATATAGGAAATAAAATCTTATACATATTCTTTCTTTAGTATTTCCTCATAGTATGCCTGCATTCATGAAGTGAGTCACTAAGAACTATTCCACAATAAGGATAACAAATTAATTGTTTTGAATTCTGGGAAAAAATATTAGACTGTAAGATCCCATAGTTACAGAGAGGTTTAGAGAAAAAATATGGTCATTTCCCATAACTGCATGGTGGAGATTTCGTAAAAGACTAATTGAATTCTTCTAGTGACAGAGACTTCACTCTCTTTCACAGTAATCTATTTCAAAATTGAAAAATCTTGATTTTTTAAAAGAATTTTATATCTTCTAATTTACGCCCAGAAAGGGGTTTTGCATTCTGAAGATCTAGAAATAACCTATTTTCTCTTCCAAAACTGAGGTATAAAATATTTTATTAAAATTATGTTATATATGGTCATAATCTCTTTGTACTGGTATAACAGAATACCTGAGACTGGGTAATTGATTAATAATATAAATTTATTTCTCAGGGTTTTGGAGGCTGGGAAGTTCAAGATCAAAATGCCAGCCCATTCATGAGGGGTCCATCCTCATGACTTAATCACCTCCTAAGGCCCCACCTCTTAATACTATCACATTAGCAATTACATTTTAACACATGAATGCTACAGTCTAAATATATAACTCCAGGTCTGAACGCTTTCTTGAAATCTAGAACTATATTCCTAAATACCTACTGCATATTTTCTCCTGGATCTCCCATAGGCACCTTAAACTTACGTAGGCCAAAGTTTTATTCTTCCCACCAGATCCACTCCATTTCTATCTGCATTATTCATTCATCCATTGAGTCTCTAAAGCTGGAAACCTCAAATTTAGTTGTTGTTTTTAGATGGAGTCTTGCTCTGTCACCCTGTCTGGAGTGCAGTGGCACAATCTCGGCTCACTGCAACCTCCGCCTCCTGGGTTCAAGCAAGTCTCACAGCTTAGCCTCCCAAGTAGCTGGGACTACAGGCGCATGCCACCATGCCCAGATAATTTTTGTAATTTTTGTAAAGATGAATGTGTTCTAACCATGTTGGCCAGGGTGGTCTCGAACTCCTGAGCCCAGGCAATCCTCCCGCCTCAGCCTCCCAAAGTGCTGGGATTACATGTGTGAGCCACTGCACCTGGCCTTAAACTTAGTTTTTAAAAACTATTCTTCACCAAATCAACCATCAAGTTTTCCCAATTTTATTAAAAGGGTTTTGATTCCATTTTTCCTTTATTTTAAATTTTCCATTTTTGCAATTTATCTCCCTACTTACCTGTAAGTTCTTTGAAGGCAAGGACTTTATTTATTTTTTATTCTTCAGCACTTAGAGAGATCCCTTACACTTACACTAGTGTAAACTCAATCCACCATTTGTTGAAAGGTTGCATATATATATATATAGCGAGAGAGAGAGAGAGGACTTCACGCCACTTATTCTGCTATGCAGCGATTTAACATTTACAAATGTATCTATTTCATGGGATCTGAACCATACAAGGCCAGCTCTCCTCTGACCCAACCTTGTTTCTACCACCAAGTAGACAGTCCAGCAATGTTTTGAATGATAAAGGAATTTGAAATTTCCTAATCATGGATCATTATGTTTATCTTTACTAAAACATGTACGAATTTTGTTCCTATTTACATAGTAATAAGCCCTGAGATGTCATCATCAATAACAACCAAAAAATAAAATCTAAAACCAATAATATGCAGAATATGCAGAAATTCCTACAAAAATCTTCCACTGAAACACTTTTGCAAAGTAACATTTTTAATAATTATATTTAGCAAAATTGAAGGTATATTTTTGTGTGTATGTGTAGAGATATTTGGATGATTAGTCTTCAAGCATTAGCAGTTATTATGTTTTTGGAGGTATAATTTTAGTTTCCAGCTATTTTTTTGTACATTCCTCCTTTTAAACATTTCTTATAATGAGCACATATTGTTTTTCCAGAGCCAATAATGCTATTAAAATATATATTGTATCCCTTTAATTAGTAATGTACTTGGCAAACTCCTGAAAGATAATCTCTTCCCTTGCTCATTCTTCTTTGTAATGTAAAAGAGGTAGAGTTGGTTGGCCAATATTTTAAGCAGTGCACTTTCATCAAGAGCGTGAACGGACTGCAGCTTAGCAGCTAGCAGGATGTTAAAGGATGCAGTTGGAAATTGAATGTTACATGTGAGTGGCAGGGAAGATAGGTGTGTCTGTGTTTGTGTTCCAGTGGAGGCATCTGTAATGCATAAAAGAGTGAGAATGAAGGAAAGTAAAAGTGTTGACAAGTGTTTTTCATTTTCTGAAATTCCAATGATGCTGACACCCTTGTAGAGGCAAATAGCACTTATATTAAAGATAGGAAAAAGAGGAATAGACTAAACTTGTTTAGCTAAAATAAATTAGTTTATATGATAAGGTGGAGATCTGCCAATATCATGGAATTTATTTTTTTTCCTTCTGTCTCTACACTTTTATAAAAGATGATTTAATGCAAAGGACAGACAATATTGTGCTACAGGGGCAGACAAATCTAGAGATGCGCACATACTCACACACACACACACAAATACACAGGCACAGATAAAATAAATTTTTTTGAACACAGATTATAATTTCTGGAAAGAAGAAGAAAAACTGTTTTTTTTTAAATTATACCCATTATGTTAAAACTAGTATATATGGAGCAAGCATGGGTACTTTGAAATTTGCTGACACTAACAGAAGATAGAAGTTGAGGCTCACTAGATATAATGCACATCAAATTAATAACCTCGGATAGCCATTCAGTTAGGAAACATGCCCAGGTTCTGAGAGATGGTGGTACTCATGAGTAATGCCTTCTATTTTCTTCCCTTCTTTGGCAATTCCTTTCTATATGGAGATTACTTAATTTCCTACTGTTATTAGACTTCCTTTTGGATTGTTTTGGATAACAGTGTGCTTTAAAAATAAAAATAACTTTTGCTCTTCTATGAAAATGCTTAGGTAATAGAAATTAGGTAATAATTTCTCTTGACTGGTGGTACAATGGCAATTTAAAAGCATGATATTAAAATGTACCCACTTTTAATGCAGTTGTTTTTGCTGAACTTGGTGAAAACCAGGAAGTTGGAAAGCGTTTTCCATTACCTCATATAAGTATTTTCTTTGTGAGAACCTGAAGCAAGAAATACCTACGCTTAGTAACAAAAACAGTCACAAATTCCCCTCATAGATCAGATTCAGATTATCCTGTGACATTGAGCTGTGTAGGAGATATATCTCTTTTTCTCTGGGCGCTGTGGAGTCTATAGCCAAGCATCTAGCTGATCCTTGGGGCTGGTAAATGTTTCACAGCTGGCTATGGGGGAAAAGAAAAGTTCTGGTTTGTAGCATCTGCCAGTTTCTGAGGCATATATTATCCCACTATGGCTGATTTCAAGTTACCAACATAATATCATTAGATGTGAAGTTAGGAAGACCTGCACAGTTACCTTTTGTGAGCGGCTGAGAATCACCTCCAGTGTACCACTAAGCCCATCTATTGTATTTATGCTTTGATCATATGTACTTTATGCATTTCGCTGGTCCCACATTTATCTCTGCCTTTTTTTTTGGTTGTTCAAACCATTTTAACACAATTTACCCAGTAGGGTTTATATATATCTAAACCAACTGACATTATTTCTGAAATAAGATAAAATAATAAAATACCAGACGACATTAGCTAATTAGTAGGAGGATTCGTTTAAGACATGATTTCTGGCCGGGCGCGGTGGCTCACGCCTGTAATCCCAGCACTTTGGGAGGCCGAGGTGGGCGTATCACGAGGTCAGGAGATCGAGACCATCCTGGCTAACACGGTGAAACCCCTTCTCTACTAAAAATACAAAAAAATAGCCGGGCGTGGTTGCGGGCGCCTGTAGTCCCAGCTACTCTGGAGGCTGAGGCAGGAGAATGGCGTGAACCCGGGAGGCGGAGCTTGCAGTGAGCCCACCTCGTGCCACTGCACTCCAGCCTGGGCGACAGAGCAAGACTCCGTCTCAAAAAGACAAAAAAAAAAAAAAAAAAAAAAAAAAAAGGCATGATTTCTGTGATACTTGGCCTAAATATAACTTTTATCATTGGTTTCACTAGTAATAACTCCTGGGGGTATGGGTTCCCATGAGGAATTTCCTTGTTCTTTTATTTAGCTCTTTCTTCATAAAATAATAAAGTAGTTTATAAACCTACTATGTACATTAGCTTCTTTCTCTCTCCAAAGTCCTATGAGTTAAAAAAAAAAAAAAAAAAAAAAAAAGGGAAGATACTCCTGTCCTCATTTTATGGATAAAGATATCTCAAAAGGCTGCAGACTTTACCTAACATCGTGGAACTTATAAGTAGCGCATGCTCTGCCCTGCTTTTATGCCATCAAGATCCCACAGAACAAATGACAATTCTTAAGGCTCTTGTCCTGGAGATGGCAGATAACTGTTTTCCAGTGCAGTTATTTTTCATGGGCGGTAAAAGCATTTACTGCTGCTAAATTTTAAGCACTGCTAGGATTTGTGATGCTGAAGATAATAATAATGTACCTGGATCTACAGTTCCAATAGACATTGTTGCTTTTTCATTATAAAATCATAAGATGGAGAAGAATCCTAGAGTTAAGGTCCTATTGCAGGGTGATTTTTCTAGTAAATGACTGCCAATGTAGCTGATAATTGAATAGTAAAGATGTGCATCTGATAAATCTAAGGGGCCAGTAAATTCCACATAATTCATTTAAGCTGTGAAACCTGTAGATGTAATGTAGTAAATGAAGGGTAAGAAAGCATTCAGAAAGAACCTCTTAAGTTAGCTCCATCTTAACAAGAGCCAAATCTTAGTGTTCTCTAAAAGGTCCTGTGAAGAATTGTGTACAGCCGTGGTCTCCTTATTTTCTTCCAGGCTCTTGAGCTTTTAATGGTCTGGAAATCACTCTTGATGGTGAGCTGCAGAAGTGCATTTGCAAGTATGCTTACAGCTCCAATATTGATTGCTCGGTTCTGTCCAACCACCCCTTGCAATAAACAACCCCGCAAGATCCTGCACTGCTGGGAAGCAGTGATGCATTATTTACCAGCAGCTGATCAATATAAAACAAGCATCCCCTTTGTTACAGCAGTACTATTGATAGACTGCTTCTCCCTTTTAATTTTTTATTATTTAGCATTGATTTCTGAAACTCAATTCTGTATCTTACTCTTCTTCCATCAGTAACTGTGAGTTGAGCCCTACCTGACTAGAAATCTAACATCCTTTTTGAATCACAAATTACCCAACTTAATTAAGCAACAATTAGTTGAGAGTTTTTTAAAAAATCATTCAACTCTACTCTAATCAAATTTAATGAGTGAAATACATTAAATACAGGATTTGGGGGAACTTACTGTAGAAAAATCTGAAAGGACAAGATTATTGCAGCTGTATATGTTTTCGGGAGGAGGCTGCCAGATTTTCCCATTTAGCTTGGGAACGTTGGGAAAATTCAGGCACATAACTACCATTAACACTAATAGGGACTTGTCCTCTAAATCCTGCTATATCAATGGAAGAATGGGGCTTTTAGTTTTTTTATTTCTTTTGTCCTTTTTTTTTTCTTTTTAAATCTTAGCTGAGTTGCCTAGAATAAAACATTAAAGGGCAGCTACATTAGGCACTGCTGCACTTGAATGCTAACTCCTCACCTGACAAACATAAAATACCATTTTATTACATAAGTAAACAACATGGACAAGAGAGTCAGATATGGTTCTGCACCCAGGGGCATGTGGTCGTGCACAATTTTGTGAATTGGGCTAAAAATAAGCAGAAATATCCTGGCTGGTCTATTCATTTATGACATTTTTAGTATATTGTTTTTACTTATTATTTTTGGACTCTGATAAAGCAGTAACAATAAAATAAAGCTAGGTTTCTAGATAATTCATAAAAATGGAAGATTTACATGTCAAAGATATTTCTTTTTGGGTAGTTATGCTTACCGATGGCTATATTTGTTATATAATATGTGTTTTTATCACAAAAAATCAAGTTCCTTGTAAAAATATATAAAATGCATGAGTAGAAAGAAAATATTAATTTCCCCCACTCCTACCTGTCAGATAACGAGTGTCACATTGTTAAAATTCTGGTGTGCACAACCAGCAATTCATTCTGTCTTTTTTTTTCTCCCCATATCTAATCAACCCACGTTATTTAGAGTAAAAATTACACAGATCATCATGTTATCATGTCCATTCTTCACATAATTTTGCACAAAGTAACAGAGGCCAGGTCATAAATTATTTTAGCAGGTTTATTTTTGTTACCATTATTAGAAAGCCACTTTGGCATGGCATATGAAACTAATATTAAATTGTATCTTTGCACTAAGTTTTAAGATGTAGTTTATTTGCTAATGGACAGAGGATTGTCAATATTTATTCATCAGAATCGAGAATTTCAAAGCCAATTTATTAAATACAAATAATGAAAACAAACCAGAAGTGGAAGTGAGGGCTCTGGACAAATTGGAAGCAGGAAGCCAGAAGATCAGAAGCAAAATGGCTTCTTTTAGCAGAACAGTTTAAGCTCCCCACTCAAAAGAGACTATAAACAGAGAAATCAAAAGCCCTTAGCCAGGGAAGAGTCTGGGTGTTGATGTGTAGTTACACCTGATGGTGTCTCCATCCTGACGTTCATTCAACAACAGTAAACATGAAGTGGGCACCAATCAAGTGCCCAGCATCGGAGCTGGCTGCTAGAAAACTCAGCCAAATTTCTTAGCAGACTCTAGAAAGTACATAGCATTTGAGCATTTGCCTTTTCAATCTCATGTTGACTCCATTTGGTATACTCACCCTTGTATTTTCTTGTTCATCTCCTTTAAAAATTCAACTATATCCTCTGTATCTACAGTTATGGGTATATCATCGCAAGCTGTTTTAAATCGTGTCTGGAATGAGGCTAAACGAAGAAAACACATGATCTAGAAACTGAAGGGAATGAGGTAGTGAATAAGAAATGGTTTCTGTTCTCAGAGGAATTAAAGTCTCATAGGAGAAAACCTCTCATTGCTATTACATGAGGGGAGGTGAATTGATTCAATCACGGACTCACAATGCTCTCTGTGTGCCCAGCTTGCCTAGGTCACCCGAAGATATCTAATGGTAATTAGTTGCTAATTAGCTATTTTGGAGGCAGAATAAATGATTTGGTCATTTGTCTTTCATTTCTGGAAAGAGCTTACCCTATGTAGCTGTTTACTTAAATAATTCTGACAAAATTTATATTTTTTAATTGAGAAAACTACCATGAAAATTGGAAATAGAGGCAATTAGAAATGCAGACTGCCTATTTAAAGAATCATCAAATAGGTCATCAGAGTTTAATGCCACGTTTCAATTACCTAGAAGTTTAAAAACTTTTAAAAAGAAAAATAAATTAGTTGAGATTTGCCTAAACTCTTAGAGGTGAAACTGTTTATTTTGGACCTAGGTGTGATAATGACTTGCGGGAGGTGTGGTTTTGTTTATTACCTTCCCTTAGGCAATGGGAAACTCTTCTAACTGGGCATGCCTAGAGTAAGTTTCACACAGCTCAGTTCTCCTGTGAGTTGCCATTGCCTTGAGACTTGTTTTTTTCTGCTCCTGGGTCAGAAGTGACTTCTTGATTAAAATTGTTTCTTTTTGTTTGGGTTTTAAAAAATCCTTTAAGATATAACATACCTAAGGTAAAATACATAAATCTTAAGTCTACATCTAAATAAATGTTTAATTCTACATAGCACCTGTATATACCTTTGCCATCATCACCCAGATCAATACATAAAATACTGCCAAGATCCCAGGCAGCTTCCTTTGTTCCATCAATACTCCCTAATGAAAACTACCATTCTGTTAACCCCATTGTATAATAGTTTTGCTTGTTGTTAAAAGGCATGTTGGTGGAATCATATAAAATAATAGGTACTTTTTATTTGTTTGTCCAGCCATGTTGTGTGCACCTGTTCATTCTTTCGTGTTCCTGTGCAGTAATTCTACATAACAACATACCGCAAGGTTTTTATCCAGTGTGCTGTTGATAGACATTTGGGTTTTCTTGAGTTTTGAGCTATTTAGAATAAAGTTGGCATAAAGATTCCTCAAATTCCTTTTTGATAACCATGTGTGCTCATTTTGAGGAGGTATTTCTCTGGAAGTAGACTTGTTCAGTCTCAGTGTGGGCAGAAGTTCAGCTTTAAAACATGCTGCTAAAATTGTTTAGTCTGGTTGCTCCACATCCTCACCAATACTTGGTATTATCTGATTTTGTTTTGTTTTAGTTTTACTCATTCTTTTGGGTACTTAGTGGCATTTTGTTTTGGTTCGAGTTCATATTTTTCTAATGACTAATGATGTTGAGAACCTATCCATATACTTTTGGCCCTTTGGATGTCTTCTTCTGTGAAGTGCTTGCTTAATCTTCGCCAGTTTTTCCATTTGGTTATCCTCTTTTTCATAATGATTTGTATGAATTTAATATCCAACTGTTACAAAGCTAGAACTTGATGTTTTACCATACATTTTCTCTACTGTCATCACTGCTGCTATATCTGCTACTGTTGCATTTTTCTCTTACCGTCTGTATTCTTTAGTCCTTAACATCTTTCCTTCCTGCTATATGATGTGCTGGTACTCTCCGGGTCATGTGGCCTTTGTGGCCACTCGCTGAACAATAAACTTTCTAGTGTTCCAATGGACTCCAATCCTAGACTTCAGAGCCCAGGGTTAGTAACCTCCTTGCCAAGTTCTACCAGTTCTTCTTTTGGGTTCCCTATTAGCATTACTAATTTTACTGATGATCACTTATTTTTTAATGTACTTATCTTATTGGTTACATTGGTTCATATCACCATCAACTAAGTGGCTTTGTTCTGGACCAATGTATCCCTTAGATTTTCCCTGAATTTCACGTCTTAATGTTCTGATTCTCTTCCCTCCACTGGCTGAGCTGTATCATTTTGGGCAGAGATAAATAACTTCTAGCAGGGGCCCTGTGGAAACGTTAGCCACAGGTAAACAACAGAGCTGCTGATTAAGTTCTTTCTCATCTCTCTTACTTTACGTTCCCTCCTTATTATGGGTCATTCATGGATTTTCCAGTACTCATGTTGAAGGCTTCTTACAATGGGAGAAATGAATGATAGGACTTTTAAAACTCCTTTAGCATCCCCACTTTCCCTCACCTGGGATGACTTACCTAGATATAATACAAATAGAAAGCCATGGCTTCCAACAAGGAGAAATTCCATCTGTGATGCCAGACAGAGAACAAAACAATTCCTCTTTATCATAGGAGGCTATAAACATTGATAAGGAGCAGGACAGACATGGGTTAGGTAAATTGACACAAAAGTGCATGCGTCCACTCATGTAATGAGGGTCTACCATGGGCTGGATATTGTTGGAGGACAAAAGCCTCCATCAGGTATCAGTCCTGACATCAGGCAGGTGATCATCTTAGCTACCATGAATCCTTGCCTATTGTACTCCAAATCTAATTTTTATCTTGAATATACAAAAAAATACTTCTATTGATGAAGAAGCTGAGGCCTCCATGAAATTTTAATTTTCCACCATCGGTTAGAAATGGACAAGTGCAGAATGTGATTCAGGTATGACGAGCTTCAGTATGCTGTTTCTTCCATCTCAATAAATGACTTTTCTGCTGCCAGACTTTTGTTCTTATGTCTCTCATAGCGTGTAAAACATTGTCCTATGGTCACCGTTTAATGTTTGTCTCCTCAATCAGACTGCGAGCATACACTAAGGATATGTTTTATGCTTCCCTTCTTCAGAGTCCAGTTCTTCAAGGAAGTTTGTCAAAAAAAAAAAAGAATAACTAGTTTACAACCCATAGGACTTGCCTTTGCATACTAGTAATTCTGTAACCCTACAAAGATGGAAGAGTTTATTCTGAATGGGTAGAATCAGAAAAGATAGCCAATGTGCTTTGAGTGCTGTTTCCGCACTTGGCACTGCACTAAGGTGTATTTGGATAAAATCCTAACGACAAACCGAGTAGTAATTACTGTTCTGCTTCTCATTGCAAAGACATAGAGATGGAAGAGAACCACATAGGTCTGACTTCAGAAAAAAGCACCAACTCTAACTGCTATGTCTTGTGGCTGCATGGAGAAAGGTTTGAGGGAGGGGTTGAACTAGAATAGAGTCCTGAAGGGTAATTAGAATCTGGCGGAATTGAGTTTGGGAAGGAGATTCTGACGTGCCTAGAGGCAACGTAGGAAAGCAAGTGTACCAGAAACATGGCTCAATTCATCCCAGAAGGACAAAGCTTGGAACAGGTGTGGAATTGCTTGGGCTAACTACCGGGTGGGGCAGGAGAACGCGGGGTTCATGCATATACTCTGCAGTCTGACTGCCCAGGTTTGACTCTCAACTCTGCCATGTACAATATATGTGACTCTCTGAAAGTGACGTAGCATCTCTGTGTCTCATTTGTTTGTCAACCTCATGGGATTTTTATGAGCATTGATATGTACAAGTATAAACCTTGGAATAATCTATAGCATAAGGTTAGAACCACTTAGGTTTGGCCACTTGATACTACTTATTTGTAGTATTAGTATTATTTTTATAATAGCACTCATTCATATTTATAGCTTTTGCATATTCATCAAAAATTTGTCTCAGTTTTACAGTTGTTCTTTGTTATGCCCCAGTTTACTCCATGGTATAGATTAAATGCATTCTGCATTTTAAAAACTCCTTGAAAGCATCTATTTAATGTTCTCATTTCAGTGTGAGAAAATTGAGCTCAAACAGGTGAGTGATTTGGCTGCAGCTACTGCAGCCACATAGTGCCGTGTGTCTGTGACTCAGGCCTCAGTGCAGGGTGATGGGAAGGACAGGAATACATACCATATGGGTAGAAAACCAAAACTCAAGCAGTCACAGATCCTCACTTTTCTTATAAAGATCTTATTTCAAATATCTGTGGAGCAATAAGCCTAGCTGTAAGGTCTATGAATGAATGTGGAAACTATTGCCAGCATCTTTAACATTAATTTTAAAAGTAACTCTCTTTACCTCCTCCTTCACTCATCATTTATTGCATACAAAGTAGCAGCTTTGATGAGTCTCCTTGTACAGTTGATGTGACATATGAATTTGTCCAGTCAGTTCGAATTTTTGAAATGTTTGGTATAGAGTTCAAAGTTAATGCCCACAGGTTTCATTTACTTAGCCTCCCTTCACTAAAAAGAATCTTCCTCATGTTCTTGGACTTAACCTCTTAAAGTCTCTGTACAGCAACTTGTTTAATGAGTGATCTCCTGGTTATGTGTAATGTGCCCTTTCCCCAAGTTTTCATCCTGAAATGATATCCTTTTGTTTTTGTCCGCATGTATGTATATTTATGTACAGTCATGTGTCATTTAAAGATGGGGATATGTTCTGAGAAATGTGCTGTTAGGCGATTTTATCATTGCATGAACATCAAACAGTGCACTTACACAAGCCTAGTTGGTCTAGCCTCCTGCACACTTCGGCTATACAATATACCCTATTGCTCCTAAGCTACAAACCTGGCCTGTTACTGTATGGGCAATTGTAATGCAATGGCAAGTATTTGTGCATCTAAATATATCTAAGCATAGGAAATGTATAGTAAAAATATTAAAATCTGGCCAGGCGCAGTGGCTCATGCCTGTAATCCCAGCACTTTGGGAGGCCAAGGCGGGCGGATCATGAGGTGAGGAGATTGAGACCATCCGGGCTAACACGGTGAAACCCTGTCTGTACTAAAAATACAAAAAAATTAGGTGGGCGTGGTGGTGGGCACCTGTAGTCCCAGCTACTGGGGAGGCTGAGGCAGGAGAATGGTGTGAACCCAGGAGGTGGAGCTTGCAGTGAGCCGAGATCCGGCTACTGCATTCCAGCCTGGGCTACAGAGTGAGACTCTGTCTCAAAAAGAAAAAAAAAATTAAAATCTTATGGGACCATCATCACATATAAAACCTGTTGTTGACTGAAATGATATTATGTAGTGCATGACTGTATAAAAGCTGCATTGAGGTTGAGGTACACATGTATGTCTGTAAGCATATACTAGACCCATGTATTCTTTTTTTTCCAAGGAGCTCAGCTTTCGTTATTCATGTATCGTTAAGATTGTCTTGTATTTATCAATGGCCATTAGAGTTTCTGAAGCCTCAGTGTTTTCCTCTTTTTATACGATATACATTTTCTTATATGTTTATACAATGTTATCATATATGTTTTATGTAAATAACATATTTCACAGGAATGCATATTAGATAACCTAAATTTTTAAAATATCTAGGGTCTGTGTCATGCATGTTGACTCTTATTTTCTAGATACAGACTGAAGGGTAATTTTGAAAAACTTCCAGTGTGGTTAAAATATGTTCATTGCTTAGCCTAAACATACAATCCTCAAGTAGTAAGACAGAAAAATAGGAAAAGATAAATGAAACAGAGAATGGAAATCACTACAATGAAAAATTTCCACTTAAAGGGGCTCATATTACTTTGTAATTCATTATAAGAGGGTCAACATATAAAATAGTCCTTTAAATACTACTTTATATTCTTAGTACATCTTCTGCTAATATTACCAGAGATAAATGTCAGTATACCTCATATCCTGGGAAACGAGGGGCCAGAGAGATCTTACTCAGGTTGTGAGTTTTACTTAAAGTATAAACCATGTGTCAGTTTAACAGCATTCTGAATATGAAATATAGATAGCCTTAGAAATATGAAATGTATATAATAATTCAGAAGTAAAGTACAGGTATACATTGTTTTATTACACTTCACTGTTTTGTGCTTTGCAGATATTAGGTTTTTCACAAATTGGAGGTTTATAGCAATCCTGTGTCCATCAAATCTCTTGGGGCCATTTTCCAGTAAGCACGTGCTCACTTTGTATGTCTATATCACATTTTGGTAAGTCTCACAATGTTTCAAGCTTTTTTATTACATTTTATTCTTTCATAATATTTTCTCATTATATCTGTTACGGTGATCTGTGCTCAGTGTTCTTTGATGTTACTATCGTGATTGTTTTGGATTCCATGAACTGCACCCATGAAAGGTGGCAAACTTAATTGGTAAATGCTGTGTGTTCTGATTGCTCTACTAACCCTCTCTCCCTTTCAGCATCCTTCTTCTTAGGCCTCCTTATACCCTAAGACACAAAAATATTAAAATTAGGCCGGTTAACAACCCTACAATGGCCTCTAAGTGTTCAAGTGAAAGGAAGAGAAACACGTCTCTCACTTTCAATCAAAAGCTAGAAATGATTAAGTTTGGTGAAAAAGGCATGTTGAAAGCTGAGACAAGATGGAAAGCTAGTCTCCTGCACCAGTTAGTCAAGTTGTGAACACAAAGGAACAATTCTTGAAGGGAATTGAATGTGCTACTCCAGTCAACACAGGAATGATAAGAAAGTAAAACAGCCTCATTGCTGGTATGGAGAAAGTTTGATGGAGAAAGTCTGTGTCATGCATGACACAGACCCTAGATATTTAAAAAATTAAGGTTATCTAATATGCATTCCTCTGAAATATGTTATTTATATAAAACATATATGATAGCATTATATAAACATACAAGAAAATGTATATTGTATAAAAAGAGGAAAACACTGAGGCTTCAGAAACTCTAATGGCTATTGATAAATACAAGACAATTTTAATGATACATGAATAACAAACCAGTTACACCATTCCCTTAAGCCAAACCCTAATCCAGAGCAAGGCTCTAACTCTCTTCAGTTCTATAAAGGGTGAGAAAGTCGTGGAAGTTACAGAAGTAAAGCTGGGTGCCAGAAGAGTTTGGTTCATGAGATTCAAGGAAAGAAGCCTTCTCCATAGCATAGCGCAAGGTGAAGTAGCAAGTGCTGATGGAGAAGCTGCACCAAGTTATCCAGAAGATCTAGAGAAGATCATTGGTGAAGGTGGCTACACTAAACATATTTTCAATGTAGATGAAACCACCTTCTATTGGAACAATACACCATCTAGGACTTAAATAACTCTTATAACAAGGAAAAGTCAATGCCTGGATTCGAAAGACGAGCTGACTCTCTTGTAAAGGGCTAATGCAGCAGGTGACTTTGAGTTGAAGCCAGTGTTGATTTACCATTCCAAAAATCCTACAGCCTTTAAGAATTCTTCTAAATCAACTCTGCCTGTGCTCCTCAAGTGGAACAAAGCCTGAATGGCAGCACGTCTGTTCACAGCATGGTTTACTGAACGGTTTAAGCCCACAATTGAGACCTACTGCTCAGAAAAATAGGATTCTTTTTAAAATACTACTGCTCGTTGACAATGGATCTGATCATCCAAGAGCTCTTATGGAGGTGAATAAGGAGATTAATGTTGTTTTTATGCCTGCTAACATGACATCTATTCTGCAGCTCATGAATAGAAGAGTCATTTCAACTTTCAAGTCTTGTTATTTAAGAAACACGTTTTTTAAGGCTATAACTGCCATAGATTGCCATCCTCTGATTGATTTGGGTAAGGTAAATTGAACATTCTGGAAAGGATCAACCATTCTAGATGCCATTAAGAATATTTGTGATCCATGAGAGGGGGGGTCAAAATATCAACATTGATAGGAGTTTGGAAAAGTTGATCCTAACCTTCATAGATGACTCAGAGGGGTTCAAGACTTCAGTGGAGGAAGTCATTGCAGATATGGTAGAAACAGCAAGAGAATTAGAGTAGAGGTGCAGCCTAAAGATGTGACTGAATTGCTGACATCTCATAAAACGTGAATGCATGAGTAGCTGCTTTTCACAATGAGCAAAGAAAATGTTTTCTTGAGATCGAAACTACTCCTGGTGAAGATGCTCTGAACACTGTTGAAATGACAACAAAGGATTTAAAATATGACATAAACTCAATTGACAAAGCAGCAGTGGGGTTTGGGAGAACTGACTCCAAATTTGAAAGAAGCTCTACTATGGATTAAATGCAATCAAAGAGCATCACATGCTCCAGAGAAATATTTTGTGAAAGGAAGACTCAATTGATGAGGTAAATTTCATTGTCGTCTTATTTTAAGAAATTGTCACAGCCACCCCTGCCTTCTGCAACCGCCACCCTGATCAGTCAGCAGCCATCAACACTGAGGCAAGACCCTCCAGAAGCAAAAAGATTATGACTTGTGAAGGCTTAGATGATCACTGGCATTATTTAGCAATAAAGTATTTTTAAATTAAGATACATGCATCTCTTTACAGATACAATGGCATTGCACACTCAATAGCTTAATAGACTATGGTATGGTATAAACATAACTTTTACATGCACAGAAAAACAAAGAATATGTGTGACTTGCTATATTGTGACATTCACTTTCTCATGTGGTCTGGAACCAAACCCGTATCAATGACGTATGCCTGTATATGTTCAATAGGGTTTTCTGTATAATCCTCTAGCCCATTTTGCAGCAGTGTCTTAGTTGCCTTAGATTTTTTCCAAGTTTTACGTTGTTTCAAATTTTAATATTTTCTTTAATAGGATTATGCAGTTATATAAATAGAACTTTTTTTTTTAGTATTGCTAGGCTTGATTTCCTTTTTCCTCCAAACTCCTCCTCCAGAAGCTATAAAGAGTTCCATACATTCATGGATCACCAGTGAAAGCTATTATTCAATTACCAAGCCAGCCAATTTCTGAAATAGATTCTTAGCTGATGTAGTCCATTAAGAAGCCTATCCAGCGGCCAGGTGCAGTGGCTCACGTTTGTAATCCCAGCACTGTGGGAGGCTGAGGCGGGTGGATCGCCTGAGGTCAGGAGTTTGAGACCAGCCTGGCCAACATGGTGAAACTCAGTCTCTACTAAAAATACCAAAAAAAAAAAAAAAAAATTAGCCAGGTGTGGTTGTGCGGGCCTGTGTTCCCAGCTACTCAGGAGGCTGAGGCAGGGGAATCGCTTGAACCCAGGAGGCCAAGGTTACAGTGAGCCAAGATGTCGCCACTGCACTCCAGCCTGGGTGACAGAGCAAGACTCCATCTCAAAAAAAAAAAAAAAAAAAAGAAGCCTAACCAGATTTCCACAGCTAAGTTTTCTCTAAAATATTCACAAAATTACTCATCTAGGAAGTAAGAGATGTTAGTCAGAAACAGACATAATTTGAAAAGACAGGATTTATTGTTTAGTTACCTCAAACTGCTCCATAGATATCTGAGTCTTCAGTGTAAAAAAAAACCCAAGCAAAAACAAAAACCAGATTGTTAGGTTTTTATTAGCCTCTTCTTTTCCTTCTTATCTTTTGTTTTCTGGTGAAACCCCCTCCTGTCCCCTGTGCCAGCCACCGATCCTCACTAATGATGTCAGGATGTCTTATTGCATGAGGACATGTAGGCCAAACGAACAAAGATGGTATTTTTTTTCCATCTTTTTTAGGCACTTGTTTCCCTTCCCTGTTTCTTGCCAAGACTAGAAAAAGAAAATTAATGTTTTTTCCCCTTGGCTAACACTAAATGTTAAAGTGAAAACATTTATTTCTTTTGTCAAAATCATGCATTTGATGGTTCCTCTTAGCCAAGGGAGGTCATGTATTCATTTAGCGTGTAGATATAAGAAGTCACTCTAGTCTATGTTTCTGGCAAATGCTGTTATAATTAAGCCAGCAGTGGTCAAATTACAGAATACCCTATGAACAGAAAAAGTCTCTAAAAAATAATTCCCAAGTCCTGGTTACAATCGAAAGCATAAACAATCATATTTTGTACATAATTAGAGTTGATTGTAATGTGATTTTATCTGTCAGAATAATATGCCCTGACAGAGCCTTAGAAAAATGGAATTTTTTTTGGTAATGGAGCAAGCTGTGGTTTACTTGCATTGCTAATAGCCTGGTGGTTGTGCGCAAGGATCAGAGTTTAAAATTCCTTGGAAGAAATGAATCTGCTTGTATGTGTCCTTAAATTCGTGTTTAAGTGTTCTTGGGTACATTTTATAGGCATTTTAAGTTATTTTCCTCAATTCTCTGGAAGTGTTTTTAAATATCAGCAGTGTCACTATCTTCTAAAACATAAAGGGACAGGGAAACACATGGTTTGTCCAGGGTCACCAAGCAAAACACAGGCAAAAGGGAGGGCAGAATTAGATGGCTCAAGACATTGCACAAGACCTTTCTGCTTTCTCTTGTCTACAAAAAAAAAAAAAAAAATTTCCATAGAAGTCATCATAATATTTGACCGAAAAGCAGTAGTAATTATCCATGGGCAGGGAACAGCACATTTGCATAAAATTGGCCTATAACCAATTGTTTTCTCTTACCTTAATTTCTCTTTCTTTGCCTATTTAATGGAGGAAGGACTAATAAACTATAAAATTACAAAAGTAGACAAGAGAAAGAAAACAACTCAAATCCATGCAAAGGATCATCTGCTGAATAATCAAAAGTTGGCTGTGACTGGAAGCAAAGCAATGAATCCTTTAGCAAGCAAATATTTAAAGGATAGAGACACTACATAAAATGTATGTTTCAAAGCTATTTCCTTACTCATAGAAGCTGAATTTGAACAAATTAATCTCTTTTAATTTATATCATTATAAAAGCCAGTTGACATTTCATATCTGTGAGCATCAGACAGTCCTGTGAATTTGAACAACATGGCCCTACTGCAGGCTTTGTAGGCTGGTGGTTCCAAACAAGATTCAGTCTCTGCCTTGTTCTGAAAACTTCCTTTTTTCACCAGCATTACTGCACTTGCCAACAGTGACATAACCTTGAAATTATTTGTTACATTTTCCAATGAACAAATCCAGCTTGTTAAGGAAATGGGCAGCCTATATCATCAGCAAAGAGTACAATAGAGGACTCAGAATTCAGCTTTGACTGGTGGGCCCACAGTATTCCTTGTTTCTGGGAAATTTCTCTCATTTTACAAACAATCCAGGATTTTAATGGTGCTGGCAGGGCTGGTTTAGCTTCTAGATGTTGCTAGGAGAGTGTGCCACCTTCTGCACCATAAGAAAGCTGATGCTCACATGCTCATCAGTACATTTCACTCCACATGACATTTACACACTCAGGGTAATTGCATTTGCCATAGACTAAAGGTTTTCCTTTGAATCAGGTTGGTTGGCAATGAAATAAAATGTTGACAGCAACTGTTATTGACTTTTTCTAACTATAAAATTAATGCACATTACTGATAATACTTTTTAAATTCTCTAAAGTACTAAGTAGAAAAGCCACTATCGTACCAGCGAAAGATACATTAGTAAGATACTCATAACATTTTCCCACTAGAAATAATGTGTGCTGTATATGTGGTTTAATTTGGAATAATAAAAGGAATATTTATAAAATAATATGATACCTGTTGGCCTCATGATATTTATAAATTTAAAAAGAAGAATCAATCTGGTATTCTCATTCTCTTTTCTCTCTCTCTCTCTCTCTCATCTATCATTCTACCAAATGGAATAATGTGATGTCCAGCAGGAAAATACACTGGCAAATACTATAATGAAAAAGTTTGATTTGGAGAAAACCTGACTTGTAGAACTAATCCATGTCAAGTAGGTGCTCTTGTTTTTCCTTTGAATTGTGCATTAGACTGTTGCTTTTTTAGATAAATTTATTTATTTATTTATTTATTTATTTAAAGGATCTTGCTCTGTGCCCAGGCTGGAGTGCAGTGGTGTGATCATGGCTCAGTGTGTCCTCTACTTCCTGGCCTCAAGCGATCCTCCCTCCTCAGCCTCTTGAGTAGCTGAGACTACAGGCATGCACCACCGTGCCCAGTTTTTTTGTTGTTGTTGTAGTTTTTTGTGGGGTTTTTTTGTTTGTTTGTTTTTAGTAGAGATGAATGTTATGTTACCCAAGCTGGACTTGAACTCCTAGCCTCAAACAATCCTCCCACCTTGGCTTCCCAAATCACTGGGGTTACAGGTGTGAGCTACCATGCCTAGCCTAATTTTATTTTTGAATAGGTAATATTTCATTTTTATGAAATATTTGTTACCCAAAGAAAACTATATAGAAGGGTTTGCTTTTGTTTGTTTTTTGTTTGTTTGTTTGTTTGTTTGTTTTTGAGATGGAGTTTCTCTCTTGTTGCCCAGGCTGGAGTGCAATGGCACAATCTCGGGTCACTGCAACCTCTGCCTCCCAGGTTCAAGAGATTCTCCTGCCTCAGCCTCCCGAGTAGCTGGGATTACCGGCATGTGCCACCACACCCAGCTAATTTTGTATTTTTAGTAGAAACGGGGTTTCTCCATGTTGGTCAGACTGTTCTCAAACTCCCGACCTCAGGTAATCCGCCCGCCTCAGCCTCCCAAAGTGTAGAAGGGAGTTTTTTAAACTCCTGCTTTCACTCTTTGTTTGTTTGTTTGTTTGTTTGTTTTTGAGACGGAGTCTCGCTCTGTCGCCCAGGCTGGAGTGCAGTGGCCCGATCTCGGCTCACTGCAAGCTCTGCCTTCCGGGTTCACGCCATTCTCCTGCCTCAGCCTCCCGAGTAGCTGGAACTACAGGGCGCTGCCACCATGCCCAGCTAATTTTTTTTTTTTTTTTTTGTATTTTTAGTAGAGACGGGGTTTCACCTTGTTAGCCAGGATGGTCTCGATCTCCTGACCTCGTGATCTGCCCGCCTCGGCCTCCCAAAGTGCTAGGATTACAGGCATGAGCCACCGCACCCAGCCAAAACTCCTGCTTTCATTCTTATATCTGTCTATCCTATTATACCTCTTGCCATATAAGAAATTTCCCTTGTTAGTTTTGTGTCCATATTTTCACTTTTCTTTTTGCAGTTATAAGTACACATGAACATGTGTTCTTATTTTCTACCTGTTTTACATAAATGATAGCTTACCGTCTTGACTTAGGCACCTTGCAGCTCCTATAGATCTTTCCCTGTAGGTATATGGAGAACTTCAGTTATCTCTATGACTGCATATATTTCTGTGTGTGGAAAGACTGTAGTTTATGTAGTCATATAAAGAAAGACAATTCCTTTACAATATTTTGTACACCCAATTCTTCCATGATAACCTCGTGCAAATGTTAATTTGTATATTTGAAATTATGCATTTATGATAAATTCCCAGAAGTGGTATTGCTGGGTGAAAGACTAAATCCATTAATAATTTTGAAAAATGTTATCCTTTTACTGATCTTAACATTTTGTAATACCACCAGAAATAAAAGCATGTTTTCCTTCTTTATACTGGTGTTCTGTTTTTTTGTTTGTGTGTTTGTTTGTTTAAGTTCTGGGATACGTGTACAGGATGTGCAGATTTGTTACACAGGTAAACATGTGCCATTGTGGTTTGCTGCACTTATCAAACTATTGCATACCTATTAAACCCAGCAAGCATTAGTGATTTATCCCAATGCTCTCCCTCCCTAGTTTTCTGTTTTATCAAACATTTAAATTATTGATAGATGAAAAAATTATAGTGTTAGTTTTAAACTATTAGTTTTAGTTTTTCATCATAGTTTAGTTTTGATAAGTTTAGTTAAACTTATAAAAAAGATTAAGCATATTTTTTACATGTTTCAAATGTTGGCTCTTTTTCTGGAAAATTATTTATCCTGATCTTTGCTTATTGTTGCATAGGGTTCCTCCTTCTTCCAAATTTTTAGAGCTTGTCATACATTAGAGCTTTTTAGACATTAGTCCTTTATGACAGGAGTTTTTATTTTTTAAAAACATTTTGTTGTCCCTCTTTTTATTTACTAATAGTGTTTTTTTTGTTGTTGTTTCATGTGGAGTTTTTTTGGCAGTTTCATGTTTTGCATTTTGTTTTATCTTATTTTACCTGTGCACTTATTTTGGATTTTTAGGTGGTTAAATTTTTCAGTCTCTTTTCCCCATGGCCTAAATTTAATCTTTCTAATGAAAATTCTGCATACTAGAGTATTTTAAATATTTTCTCTTTCATAAATATCCTCTCAGAATAAGGCCCTTTTGATGAAAGATAGTGCTATCTCATTCTGAAAAGAAGCATGGCAAATCTCTAATTTACTTATAGTTTAATATCATATTTCCCCTTAAATGAAAATGTTAATACCATAAGCCCTTGGGATTTGACTATTTCAATATCTAATCCCACATATACTGTATGAAGCTTTTCATGATCATGAATATTTGATGAATCTATATGCTTTTTCAGATACAGAAGTGAATATCAATTCCAAATGGTCTAAAAGAGTTCCCTTGGAAGATTAATATAGCTTAGAATTTCTTATATTGAACTACAGGAGACCATCTGGGAATATATGTGGATATATACCTCATGTGTTCATAGTAGAGAGGCTAAGAACTATAGGAATGGTATCATATATGTTAGTTTAATCATTGCATCACTTTATATTCGATACACAAGTTGTAATAACTTGAGGTCGGTAACAATCAGGAACATTGCTGTCTGCTCTGGGCAGCTGGTACAGTAGTGTGTGCCGCTCTTTGTGGTAACAATCAAACAGTTTTCTTATTCCAAATCAGCTGCCTTGGGTTAAAGTCTGAACATGTCTTAAACTCTGCATGTCAGGAGTGTTTAGGACAACTCTATCATTCATTTAGCTAGTACTGATACTGCTCCCCGGCGGGGGGATTCAGAGCTAAGCTCCAAGGCTCCAGCTCTAATTGGAGAAATTGCTGATAAATTCCCACAGCATTCCATTTAGATGCGTATTGCAGTTCTGTTGTGAGTGTTCTCTGCCCTGCTCCCACACAATGACAGCCCTGCTGGTATAACCCTGTCCTATGGGAGCTGCTGCTGTGGGTGGTGTATCTTTAGACCGATTGGATAGAGTCAGACTTTTCTTGTTAGTCTCAGAGGAGACATTCTCCCGTTTGTTTCTTATTTTGCAGGAATCATGGACCAGGCAAAGAGATGATAAACGTTTACAGTAAGCCTTCTTACATGAAGAGAAAATGCACATCCTACAAACATTGCTTTAATTTTTTATGTTAAATTACTTGGAGAAGGCATGTCTATCACAGATGCAGACCCTTGGCTTCCTTCACTGCCCATAAAAAGCTCTTCAATCGCTCCTTGAGGCATCCATTTTTTCCCTACTATGAACTCTTTATTTCTTCATGTTAGTTAACAAATATAACTTCAACATATGCTTTTCTATTTTTCTTTTACCATCTTGACAGATCTCGTCCCTAATTCATTAGTTTATTCGTCAATTAAACCTCCATTTTGTATGGACTGTATACCAGGAACGGCTAGGCTCTGTTTAGGTTCTGTGACAACTTAGAGAATAAAACCCCACCCCTATCTTTAAGGTGTCCACAGTGAGTGTGGGAAACACCCACATAAAGAGTCAATAATGCAACCATATAGCAGTTCATTGAGGTGGGCGTTAGTGACAGAGTCTCGCTCTGCCACCTAGGCTAGAGTGCAGTGGCGCGATCTCGGCTCACTGCAACCTCCGCCTCCTGGATTCAAGCGATTCTTCTGCCTCAGCCCCCCGAGTAGCTGGGACTACAGACACAAGCCAGCACACCCGGCTAATTTTTGTATTTTTAGTAGAGATGGGGTGTCACCACATTGGCCAGGATCGTCTCAGACTCCTAGACCTCATGATCTGCCCGCCTCGGCCTCCCAAAGTGCTGGGATTACAGGCGTGAGCCACCGCGCTCGGCCCGGATTCGGATGTTAGTTTTTAAAAGTCATATTGAGATTGGGTGCAGTGGCTCACGGCTGTGATCCTAGTGCTTTGGGAAGCAGAGGTGGGAGGATACCTTGAGGCCAGGAGACTAGCTTAGCCTAAGCAGCATAGCAAGACCTTGTCTCTACTAAAAATTTAAAAGATTAGCTGAACATGGTGGTGCATGCCTGTAATCCTAGCAGCTTAGGAGGCTAAGGCGGGAGGATCACTTGAGCCCAGGAAGTTGAGGCTGCAGTTAGCCATGATAACACCACTGCATTCCAGCAGGGGCAACAGTGGGACCCTGTTTCTAAAAGTAAGTAGGTAGGTAGGTGGATAGATAGATAGATAGATAGATAGATAGATAGATAATAGAAATATTGTATTATTGGGTTGAAGTAATTTATTCCTGGATAGTTTGCCTGACTATTCTGAAATCACTGGAGACTCACCAACATGTAACATAAGCCAGTTGACAGGAATCTGGCCTAGGTCCTGGCTCCTGGATACTTTGCTTCTGGGGATTTTCATCATGTTACTGGAGGCAGCTTGGGCAGCGATCTCACCCTTGGCATGCTGGGAACCCTCTCTAATATGCAGACTTGCACTTACTTGCCAGGCATATTTTTAAAGACTTTATTGTATTCTTATTTCTGCTTGGGCATGCTTGACATTTCTTTTCCTGAAACTCCTGGGCCACTTGTTCTTAGTTGCGTTTATTTTGTATTTAACAATTGCTTGCTACTTGTCTTATTTTACAGTGCTGTATATTCTTCTTGTCCCTTGGATGCAAGTATGTTTTAATAGAAGAACTGAGGTCTTAGGCGCTCAGGACATAGATATTGAATTAATCATGATAAATGAATCACACCCCGATTTTTACTCTGATGCTGTAATTTACTAGCCACGTTAATGGGAGTAACATAAAACTAGTGAGTCTTTTCCTCCATTACTATTGATATTAATTGATTAATATTATATTAAATTGCAGCTTTTTAGTAACAAGCTACTTTATTCGAGGCATTGTGAAGAGTGCTTTGCATAATTCTCTCATTTTCATGATACTACTACCTATGGTAAAAACCATGTATTAGCTTCTTTTTTTTTTTTTTTTTGAGACGGAGTCTAGCTCTGTCGCCCAGGCTGGAGTGCAGTGGTACGATCTCGGCTCACTGCAAGCTCCGCCTCCCGGGTTCACGCCATTCTCCTGCCTCAGCCTCCCGAGTAGCTGGGACCACAAACGCCTGCCACCACGCCCGGCTAATTTTTTGTATTTTTAGTAGAGACGGGGTTTCACCGTGGTCTCGATCTCCTGACCTCGTGATCCTCCAGCCTTGGCCTCCCAAAGTGCTGGGATTACAAGCGTGAGCCACCACGCCCAGCCACAAATCATGTATTAGTTTCTATAATTGTGTGCTTACTAAATGCCTTGCTAAACTTTCTACATATATCTTTTTATTTAATATTCGCAACAATCCTATAAGTTCAATGTTATAATTTACTTAATGTTATTGATGCAAAAATTGGAAGCATAGTTAAATTTAACTTATTTTCCATAAGTCACATATCTAGCAAGAAAGCCCAATTAAAACCCAGAGCAAGCCCAACTTCATTTAAAAAAGTATTAATAAATGTATTAATAAAAGCAATATACATGTATGTTACATATATTAGAAGAGTGAAAATGAAAATAAAATGCAAATTAAAAGCCTGAACTGTCAGTTTCCTTTCCTAGAAGTCAACACTGTCATGCCAGAAACTCTATGTGCCTAGATAAGAATCCACCTACTCCATATCAATGCATACACATTACTCATGCCACCAATGAGCTCCTACCTTACTAAGTATGTTCAGCAGCTTGCTTTTTTCCTACTTAATATATCTCTAAGGTATTTCTATGTCAGTATATATCTATACCTATATCTATCTATATCTATCTTGTTCTTAACATATGCACCACAATTTTCTACTAACTCAACAAGCTATAATTATTTAACCAGTTCTCTATTGATGGAATTTTAGATTGTTTCAAGTTTTCTTGTCATTTCAAAAAGTGCTGCACTGACCACTGTGATGGACACATCTTTGTACATCTGTGAGTCTCCCTTCCAAAGAAGTTGTCCCCATTTTTACTCCCAACAACATTTAATGAGTTAATATCTTTTCATAGGTCCTTGGCATAATGAAATTCCTAAAACTTTGTCAGACTGGCAAGTGAATGAGGGTGTGTTATTGCTTGTACTTATATATGGGTATTTATTAGTCTCAGAAGGCCTCAGTGAAAGGTGGCATTGTAACAAATGCTTAAGGGAGGTGAAGGGGAGCCATGTAGATTTCCTGGGGGAGAGCTGGCAGCCAGAGTGAACAGTAAGGGCAGCAGCTTGAAGCCTGGAATGTGCAGGCACGCACAGCATAGACAAGGTTCAGGAAGGAGGTCACCTGTGTGGGTGTGGAGCAAGTGAGAGCAAGTGCAGGAGGTGAGTCCAGAGAGGTGAAGATCCTAGTGTGGCAGGGCCCCATAGGCCACGCAAGGACTTTGACTTGAGTTCTGAGTGAGAAAATCAGTCATTGGAGGGCTGTAAGTCCATAAGTGAAATATCTGGTTAGCATATTACTCAATCATTCGGCTGCCATGTTATATACACCATGGGGAAAGGGAGGAAGCAGGAGCACTAACTATGAGGCATTGCAATCATTCCAGACAGAGGTGATGCTGGCTTCTATCAGTGTGGAGTGGAGGCGTGGATGAGGATTGGTGAGGCCCTTGATATATCTTGTAGGTTGAGATGTCAGGATGTATTCACAAATAGGATAAGGGCCATGAAAGAAAAAGAAGTCAAAACGATACCAAAGTACTTATGCCAAGCAACTAAAATTCAGAATTGCCTATAATAGATGAGTAAGACAGTGAGAAAGTCAGATTTTACAGGGGAGAAGATAAGGCATTTAGTTTGGTGCATGTTAAATCTCACATATCTATTAGACATACAAGTGGAGATATTGTCAGGACACTGGAGATGAGGGAAGAGGTCTGGACTGGGGGTACAAATCCAGGCATCATTAGTACATGGATTTTCTCAGTGAAAGCCTTGAAAATGAAATATAGCTCATGAGAAATATATAGAAATAGAAAAGGAATCAAAGGACTGAGCCCTGTATAATAAAACTATTTTTGTTTTTTGACTTTGTTTACCATTATGTTTGTCCAGTTTTTTAACATTGCCTCTATATTTCAGCAAAGAAAGACTTTTTATTTCCATTTAAAAACAAATTACAAGCAGCAGTAAATAACTTCAGGCTCACAGGGGTAAAGTAACATCCCCAAAGCTTCATGGCTAACATGTCGTGAGGCTGAGATTGGCTTCTTTGCATTTCTTATTTTAAAGCCCAAAGTCTTCATTCTGACCAACTATGCCCCCATGGGGCTCTTTTTTTACTCTTCAGGAAGAAAATGTGACTTATGTTGGCCAGAACATTTTCTATTAAAAAGAACAGATTTTCCTGAGCTAACCTACATTTGAGTCTTGCATTGGATTTTGGTTGGCATTTTAACATAGTGTCCCCAAGGTTCAGATCAGAATCAACAAATATTGTAGGCTGAGTTCTGGGCACCAGGGTAGGCCTTTTCACATTCATACATTTAAACAAGTCTACAACAAGCCTCTGGGTGAGAATTTGTATCTCCCTTTCACTAAACAGTAAACAGGGGAAGAGGGGTCAAGTCAAGGCCTCTGACAGCTGTACTTGCAGCTTTATCAACACCAAAAGTGTAGCCTTTTCCTTCTGTGTTCTTGATCAGCCCTGGCCATTAATCTAGTCAGGAAGCCCCAGTTCTCTCCTGTATGCCTTACAGATCTATATCTTTATCTATATCTACACATGGAATCCATTAGGAACCTTTCCTGTCTCCTAGAACACCATTTTGTTCAATAAATAATACATCGGTCAAGGTTAACCAACTTGCCCAAGGTTGTGCAATAAATTGGTGGTGGTGTGGCAGAGAAATGAACTCTGTTCACATCTCCTGACTCCAGGCTGTAACTTTATTCCCTTGGCCCAACTATTTCAGCGATTTTCAGGATTTGAAATACACATTTCACTTTTTGTAGAAAATACCACTAGTAGGTGAGAATGCTTGAATAGTCCCTAAAGGCCATACTGGGGTAGCTTAGCCTATTACAGATGTTACTTTCCAACAGGCATATTAAGGGTAACTCGCCATCTGTGCTGGGGAGTTAGGGCCTGGTTTGTGAACAGCTGGTTTGGCTAGAGTCCTGAGGAAGGTGAACAGATCACTTCTGGGTAATGAACTAGATAATTGCTTTAAATCTGTTTTGTGATGAGGCCAATGAGTTACTCAGGCAGGAGTCACTCATGATGTGTTAACTCATGGTGCATCTTCTTTGAGGCCTTGGGGTATTGAATAGCATTAGAGGTGATTCTGAATCCCCTGCAGGACTAACTTGCCAGACAAGAGAATTATCTCAGTGGGCTAGAGTTTACTGAGCATCTACTAATTGAAAAAGAGTCTCATAGGTTCATAGGTTATCCTAAGCTTAAAAACACTCAACCAGTAAGGGTATTTTCCTTAACCTACCTCATTTAGCCTAAAGTGTCTGAAAATTTGGTAGTAGAGTGGGTGTGCTTTAATACTCAATATATAATCTAAGCTTTGAAAATTGCCCAACCTGGCCGGGCTCGGTGGCTCCTGCCTGTAATTCCCACACTTTGGGAGGCCGGCGGGCGGATCACGAGGTCAGGAGATCAAGACCATCCTGGCTAACATGGTGAAACCCTGCCCTACTAAAAATACAAAAAAAAAAAAAAAATTAACTGGGTATGGTGGCAGGGGCCTGTAGTCCCAGCTACTCGGGAGGCTGAGGCAGGAGAATGGTGTGAACCCGGGAGGTGGAGCTTGCAGTGAGCTGAGATCACGCCACTGCACTCCAGCCTGGGCGACAGAGCAAGGCTCTGTCTCAAAAAATAAATAAATAAATAAATAAATAAATAAATAAATAAATATAAAATAAAATAAAATAAAAACGAAAATTGCCCAATCTGTGTGAAGTTATTCTATTCCAGTGGACGTTGTTTTAAATAAGTTATTCTTCAGACTTGAATATTGACTCTTAGTGTCTTACTGTCTGTTCTTAGACACTTCAACAAGTCTGCATGTTCTCCAATTGCCCTGACAGCCCATCCAGCTGAAATCCATGTCTTTTGTTATCAGTAAGGAATTAGGGCTGGGCGCAGTGGTTTACGCCTGTAATCCCAGCACTATGGGAAGCTGAGGCGGGAGGATCACTTGAGGCCAGGAGGATCGCTTGAGAACAACTTGGGCAACATAGACCTCCAACTCTACAAAAAGCTAAAACAATTAGCTGGGCATAGTGGTGCATGCCTGCAGTCCCAGACTCAGGAGGCTGAGGCCTGAAATTTGAGGTTTCAGTGAGCTATAATTACACCACTGCACTGCAGCCTGTGTGACAGAGTCCCCATCACTAAAAAGAAAAAGAAAACAAAGAGAATTAAATCAGTAATTTTCAAATTGAAAGAACTGTATCAATTTCAGGAATCACTATTTTTCTGAATACAGTATGAATTAAGTTTGAGCTGATTTTCTCAAAAGCTAGGAGAGAGTTGGGGGGGTTAGATGGCTGTATCTGAGAGCATTATCTGAGTTCCTGAAATTAAAATCACAAGTCTAGGTAATTACTCTAAATGGATATTTTTTTCTTTCAAAATAAAGTTTCCAGTAAGAAAAAGCAAGCAGCTTCACATTCGTAGAATTTATACTGCAGGCCGTGCATGGTGGCTCACGCCTGTAATCCCAGCACTTTGGGAGGCCGAAGCAGGTGAATCACGAGGTCAGGAGACTGAGACCATCCTGGCTAACACGGTGAAACCCCTCTCTACTAAAAATACAAAAAAATTTGCTGGGCGTGGTGGTGGGCGCCTGTAGTCCCAGCTACTCAGGAGGCTGAGGCAGGAGAATGGCGTGAACCCAGAAGGCAGAGCTTGCAGGGAGCCGAGATCGCACCACTGCACTCCAGCCTGGGCGACAGAGCGAGACTCTGTCTCCAAAAAAAAAAAAAAAAAAAAAAAAAAAAAAAGAATTTATACTGCAAAGGGCTGGGCGGGATGTCTCATGCCTGTAATCCTAGCACTTTGGGAGGCCGAGGTGGGCAGATCACTTGAGGTCAGGAGTTCAAAACCAGCCTGGCCAACATGGTGAAACCCCATCTCTACTATACACATATATATATATATATTAGGCATGGTGGCGGGCGCCTGTAGTCCCAGCTACTCAGGAGGCTGAGGCAGGAGAATCGCTAGAACCCGGGAGGCGGAGGTTGCAGTTAGCCAAGATCGTGCCACTATACTCCAGCCTGGGCAACAGAGTGAGACTCCATCTCAAAAAAAAAAAATGTATATATATATACTGCAAAGGACATGATTGAAAAAGCCCTCATAAAAACAAAGAAAAAAGGTTTAAAAGAAATATTATCTTTAGCTATGGGTAATTCAAAATAATAATGGTACAAACTACTACTTTATTTGTTTTATTATAGAATCTTAGAAGCTGAATATAATTCATTATTTATTTAATCTCTTCATTTTAGAGATGAGAAAAAAAGTTGGAGAAATAATATTAGTAGTAATAGTAGCTGCAACTAAAACTTATTGAGTACTTAATATGTCACAGGCACTGCTATGAGTGAATTGCATATATTGGCTTGTTTCTTGCTTTCAACAATGCTATAAAGTCAATGCCATTATTATTACAGACAGAAAATTCTTGGGATTTTCTTCTCTTTCATATTTAACAGAACCAGACTGGATACCTCCCCAATTACACACACTGTGGGATAAGGTTTCTGTTAAAAGAGTTGCTATTTGATAAATCAATAAATCCCAGCATCCCTTTCGGAACACTTTGGATTTCCAGGAACTTAAATACTTGTGGTCACCTACATAATTCTAAAAATGTCACCTCCACTCACAGCTGCTCTCCTGTTACATTTCCTTCACTCTCTACCCAAATCATCCCCATTCAAGATTGAGGAAGGATTCAAGGTGTTGCCGTAAGTACAAAGTCATCTTTATAAAATGCAAAATAACACAATTATGGAAAATGGCTCCAGGATGCTATTTTAAGTAATTATTGCTTAAGAACTATGTCTCTTCTTTTACTTTTCTGTGTCCTCCCCTATCCTACCTCTCTGTGGCAGACTCTTCTTTCTAAACCATGTGGGGTGTGTGTGTGTGTGTGTGTGTGTGTGTGTGATCTTTTTCTGTACCCCGTGGTAAAGATCTAATAAATTGGTCTCCTTATCTCATGCTAAAGGTGGAGTAAAAAGGTTATTTGATACAGAGGTTCTTTTACCTCATGGTCCAACTTTTCTTCTCTCTGATGGTGCTATGCCTAGTGAAAAAGAACAAGGAGTTTTCCCTCTCCTGAGTCCAGGTGTGGTCCTAACATTTGCAGGTAAAGATGGTGCCAGGCCTATAGTTGGCACCCCCCTCATCTCTTTTTTTCTATCTCTGCCCCCATTCTGCACCCCAACTTCCAATTGGAGTTCCAATACCTACCTCCATTGCTTCCACCAAACAACAATATCTTCTCCACCCCCTTGGAACTCCATACTGGGGTGGAAAATTTTGACTCACAGAGGAAGCTTGCACAGGTTCTGGAAGTGGGCTTGGGGTTATTTCAGCAGGCTGTTCTGCATCCCAAGTAACTGTAATGGTGCCTAGAATGGGACTCACTGGCTCAGGAAGGGCATGTTTGTTTGTCCCATGGATCCCAAGATCTTTCTGTAGGCAACCAGAGGAGGACCAGAGTGGTATTAGATAAATATAGTTAGATCTTACTTTATGAGACCAACCTGTAGTTAACTTCAGTGGAAGTGTGAGCATTTCTTTTACTGAAGGGTCAGGAAAGCACCCCGAAGCAGGACAGAGAAGAAGAAAAACAAGCTGTAACTTTATGTGACTACCTGGTTGCTTAGGGGTGAGTGTGAGATGTATTATTTAGATCATTGCAGGCGATGCTTCCTTCTATGTTTATATTTTGCTGGCTTTGAAATGAGTTTGAGGAATGAGGAAATGAGGTCACGAAAATCTACCACTGGCTTTACCCAAGTCATCACTCCTGGCCCCACTGATTTATTTTTTCTAAAGAAAACTGATCCAGTCTTCCATGATGAAGACACATTCTTTTATTCATATAGTTCATTGAATTCCTTGTTTAATGACAGCCCTGATACTATTGTGCTTATAGATATTTGGTTTCTTCTTAAACATGAGGGCCACCTGCAAGCCCATGGACTTGGGCCAATAGTCTTACGTTTTCCATGGAATAAAAAGGAGTACCTCAGTTAACCCTACAAGGGACATGTGTGCCCACACACTGCAAACATACACATACCCACATTCACAAACACAGAAATAGATACTTGTAAGAATATTTTCTAAAACAATTTTTTATTAATGCATAATAGGTTTACATAGTTTGGGGGTATATGTAATATTTAATTTCATATAATTTCTAAAGATTGGGATATTCATTACCTTAAATATTTGTGCTTTCTTTATGTTAGAAACATTTGAATTATTCTCTCTTAGCTATTTTTAAATGTACAATAGATTATTGTAAACTATACTCACTTTACTGATCTATTGAACACTATGTCTTCTTTCTTCCATCAAACCATATATTTGTATCCATTAATTAATTTCTCTTCATCATCCCTTCCCTTACCCTTCCTGGCTTCTTGTAATCACCATTCTACTCTCTGTCTTCATGGTATGCAGTTTTTAAGTTACCATGCATGAGTGAGAACATGTGATATTTGTCTTTCTGGGCTTGTCTTATTTCACTTGACATAATGACCTCCAGTTCCATCTATGTTGCTGGAAATAACAGGACTTCATTCTTTTTGTGGCTCAATAATATTCCATTGTGTATATATGCTTCGTTTTCTTTATCCATTCATCCACTGGTGGCACTTCGGTTGATTTCATATTTTGGCTATGGAAATAGTTCACTTGGAAGAACTTTTATCTACTTCATTCATTTTCCTAATTTTATATTCTGAGGAATGGGAGTTTACTTTCTCTGAGCAAGAACAACTTACAGTGAGAGATCAGAAATACAGGAAATGGCAAGATAAACTCAGCCACAGGATAAAAAAAAGCACCATCTCTATCACAGGTACAGAGCATGGAGACTAGAAACATGGAAAAGAGACAATGGCTGATATGAAGTTGAATGCTTTTGGATATGAATAGGTTCTGGAAAATGTTGGAAACTTGGCTATAGATGTTGCTTTTCAATAATCTTAAGGCAATATTTGTTTGTCTTATACTTTTAATTGTATAATTAAAAGAAATTTCACATTTTAGATAATGACGTTAGATAACCTTGACTTGTTATTTATCATGTGATTCCCTAGGTGACACTGAGACTTATTCTGGACAGTTACCTGGATGTGACCCCATACATCCTTACCCATAATAGATACACATTTATATTGTTAAATGAAGATCATTATACACATCTGTAGTGAAACGAATCCACAAAAACTTTCTTCCCAGTTTCTTAGCAAAATAAGAAAGCTTCCAATCCAATGGTAGTACAATCTCTTAAATCATAAGCAAGCTGGCCACAGGATTCCCCATTTACTGTTATCCCCTTTTCCAACAATCACTTTTCAGTCTCTGCTCTCGTAGCAGAAAATAATCTAGAACTTGAAAAAGGTACATTTAAAATGTGTTCATTCATTTATTTCTGCAGTACTTAATGAGCACCTATCAAGTGGCAAACACTGCTCTAGATACTGGAGTTATGGGAGTAAACAAACAAAATAAAACAACAACACACCTGCTCTCACCAAGTTTCCATAATCAAATAACTTTGTGTTATCTTGCCTCAAGTTCAAAGCCTTCTTACTCTCCTTCTCCATAATCTGAAACCCATTGTTGTTCAAAGGTGGGTCTTCTTGCTTTTGGGAGATGCACCTGTAAGTAAGTGAGGGCAGCAGGAAGGGCCAGGGAGCAGCTCACCTGTGATCTGAATGCCGCTGAGGCCCAGTTCACCTCACACACTGGGCAAGGCAATTCCCAATGGCTAAGGGCAATTTCCTTGTGAGAGAAGCAGATGGTGGCTGCAGGAGCTGGGGCGAGTCCCTTAGTCCTGCAGAGAGGATCTGAGTGGAAAACTGCAGGATTCACTGCCTCAGATTCAAGAGCCGGAGAAACCTCAAATATAGATCCTGCATGCCAATACTCCAAGAGAGTTCTATCATTGAGATCCACATACACTTATACTTACTGTCTGCTCATATAGCATTAGAAGTAACCAATTCCTTAGGATTTGTAGGCTCTGCATCAAATAGTTTGCTTATTCTTCAACATATTTTTTAAGTTTTTAGAAACAACTTTAGATATTAATAAGGAATAATTCTAATTCAGTTCACTTTTCCACTCTATCTCCAAACCTAGCTCTCTTCTTCGGTCATTATAGGTGTTTGACATTTGACACATTAATTCTCCAACAAGTGAGATAAGAGACTATCTCTATTTTCTTTAAAATTATACTACTGTGTATATACCAAATACTATACCTTAGTCTTGAGTTAATACTTTTAGTTCTAATCACACAAAGGGAAAAACAAGGGCGATAATACTCTATCGTATTTAACTTGAGTGAGAGCCCACTTAAAATACTTCTACCTTTTAAGAATAAGGCATTGGTTTTGGCCAGGCGCGGTGGCTCATGCCTGTAATCCCAGCACTTTGGGAGGCCAAGGTGGGTGAATCACGAGATCAGCAGATCGAGACCATGCTGGCTAACACACAGTGAAACCCCATCTCTACCAAAAATACAAAAAAATTAGCTGGGCGTGGTGGCGGGTGCCTGTAGTCCCAGCTACTCGGGAGGCTGAGGCAGGAGAATGGCATGAACCCAGGACGCGGAGCTTGAGGTGAGCCAAGATCACGCCACTGCACTCCAGCCTGGGCGAGAGAGTGAGACTCCATCTCAAAAAAAAAAAAAAAAAGAATAAGGCATTGGTTTTAATAAATTCATTTTTCTATTTAATCTGAGTTCACAGAAAAATGGCTTTGCTGAATAAGGAAAATAAAACTCCAAGTTTACCTGCAAAATTCCAACCACCCGGGGTGTTCCCCGTAGTTTCCCAGCTAATGTGACTCACAGGGTTGATTCTTTTTTAAGGGAGAATTAATAAAAGGCAATGAAAAATGTCATTTTGTAAATGTATCTTTATTTAAAAGAAAGATTCAAGGTGTATTTTTGTGATTTATTGACTTGTGTTCTAGACATAAAGTATTCTTTAATATAAAATGCACATGATTGGCAGACAGTTTTAATTGTGATTTTGGGGTCTTAGTCTGGATTTCTTAGGCCCCTTTCTGCAAGTAAGCCTTTTGAAATTCAGTTGCTTCTCCTTCTCCATGTGGCTCTTTTTGCCCTCTGTGGCTTGCCTGAGTTCATTCCCTTGGGACCCGCATGAGCCCATCTATTTGTTTACCAGCAGAGAGGGCTACCTGACAGGTTCCCTGCAGAAAGGGAGCTTCTCTCTTCTCAGAAGGCTGTTTGATCCTATCACAAGCCTTGCCATCTGTTGAATAAATATAGGCAAGGGAAAGTTCAAAGTATCAGCACATGTGAAAACAGCCAGGCTGCTCGGCTTGGAGCCCTGCAATTCAAATGGCCCTTGAATAATTTTATGCCATTTGCAAAAGTTTTATTGGGAATGAAGTCTAGCAAGCATTGAATTTTTAAGTTTGCTTTTCTGATTTTTTCCCCAAAAATGAACAGGTGTAATTTTCTTGGTGAAAGTTCCCGTCACCCTTTTATTTTTCCTTATCTGTTCCATACTCCTTCTTGTATTAGTTAAGAAAAGAAAAAAGAAGAAGAAGAAACTTTAGGGGCCTAGAAAGAGTGAAGGGAAAAAAACTAAACCAGATCCTTAGGTCCCATTTCATGAGTAGAAATTTGAAGACCTTTTCCAGGTTTCTTGGTTTGTTTTTCCCTATTATTTAAAAGTCACATGTTCTATGTGCCTATAACAATATTTAGAGGCAGAATTAAATACTGCATAGGAACACTGCAGTGCGAGAGGCTCACTGTTTCATCAACACTTTTATTTCACTTTTTTATATTGGATACATTTAGGGTAAGTTTTATCTTGGTGCATCATTTAACTAATTCTCTTACCCTTTTCCTTGTGGAGCTGTCAATGCCAGCACACAAAAAACGAATAAAATGAAAAATATAAGCCCAAATAATCACACCGGAGCAGGCTGTTAGATGGGTTAGCATCTACATCTGTTCCCAACCTTAATCTCTCTGCCTTAATTTTTTTTTTTTTTTTTTTTTTGAGACAAAGTCTCGCTCTGTCACCCAGGCTGGAGTGCAGTGGCGCGATCTCGGCTCACTACAACCTCCTCCTCCCAGGTTCAAGCGATTCTCCTGCCTCAACCTCCCGAGCAACTAAGACTACAGAGGCGTGCCACCGCGCCTGGCTAATTTTTTGTATTTTTAATAGAGACGGGGTTTCACCGTGTTAGCCAGGATGGTCTCGATCTCCTGACCTCGTGATCCGCCCGCCTCGGCCTCCCAAAGTGCTGGGATTACAGGCGTGAGCTACCGTGCCCAGTCCCCTTAATTTTTATTTATTTTATTTTATTTTATTTTATTTTATTTTATTTTATTTTATTTTATTTTATTTTATTTTATTTTATTTTGAGACAGAGTCTCGCTATGTCACCCAGGCCGGAGTGCACTGGCGCAATCTCGGCTCACTGCAAGCTCCATCTCCTGGGTTCACGCCATTCTGCTGCCTCAGCCTCCGGAGTAGCTGGGACTACGGGCGCCCGCCACAACGCCCGGCTAATTTTTTGTATTTTTAGTAGAGACGGGGTTTCACCGTATTAGTCAGGATGGTCTCGATCTCCTAGCTTCGTGATCCACCCGCCTCGGCCTCCCAAAGTGCTGGGACTACAGGCGTGAGCCACCGTGCCCGGTTAGCCCCCTTAATTTTTAAAATACCTCTTTTTATATTACTTGTGGAGCAAGAACAACGAATTTTCAGCCAAGTAATGCAGGGGTAATATCTGTTACCCCCTCTTATTTTTCAGAGACTTGGCCTTTCCATTGTTATTTCATCTTGGCTTTCATAGTTAAGTATAAAACATTTTGTAGAAAAGGCTATTGGCTACTCTACCATCCCTGGCAGTCAGATACAGTGTTTCACACAAGGAAAACAGAGAACATTTTGTGAATACTTTGCTATGCCAGACACTGTTTTAAGTACTTAATAACTATTTAATTTAATTATCACAACAACTTATGAAGACGTGTATGGTAAACAAAGACACAGAGAGGTTAAGTCACTTGCCTTATGTTACATAGCTAGTAAATGGCAGAGTCAGAATTAGAACATAAATACTCCAATATAGTAGATTTCTTCTCCCCCAACCCCACCCTCACCTCCAAGTATAATATTTTATTTGCTCTTGGTAAAGTCAATTCATCTTTTCATTCCATCTTCCTTTCCAGCACACTTCACTTCATGTCAGGCAGCACTGAAATGACCCAGGGCATTTTGGAAACTGCTAAGAAAAAGTTGAACCCGAGATACATTTAAATAGGAATTTAGTGTGTATTTACACAGTTTACACTTGACATTGTGACACAGAGGTGCAAAGACAGAGGTCAGGATGTAATGCAACTTGTCTATTCCATTACACTAGACCCCAGAGAGTCCAATGATACACACTGCTAAAATACATCATAGGCAGAAGGAACAGGTATAATTTGCATGAAGATGGAGGCATGTCCTCCAAACCTTAGAGCTCATAAATTACATAAACTTGATAGAATTTTTTGCAAATTTGACAGCATCCTAAATATTTATTTTACATTCCCATTAGTAAGTTGTGAAGGTGAAATAATTTTTCTTTTTTCTTTTTTTTTTTTTTTTTTTTTTTTTTTTTTTTGAGATGGAGTCTCGCTCTGCCGCCCAGGCATGAGTGCACTATCTCGGCTCACTGCAAGCTCCGCCTCCCAGGTTCACGCCTTTTTCCTGCCTCAGCCTCTCGAGTAGCTGGGACTACAGGCGCCTGCCACCACTCCCGTCTAATATTTTTGTATTTTCAGTAGAGACAGTGTTTCGCCATGTTAGCCAGGATGGTCTCGGTCTCCTGACCTCGTGATCTGCCCGCCTCAGCCTCCCAAAGTGCTGGGATTGCAGGCATGAGTCACCGCACCCGGCCAATAATTATTCTAACAATCAAAATAAGAAACATATTTTGATCAACTATGCCAAAAGAAAGACTAAATTGTTTTTCTAGACTGCTGTGGTATGAATCTTTTGTCTCCCCAAATCTCATATTTGGAAACTTAATCCCCAATGTGATAGTAATAAGAAGTGGGGACTTTGGGAGGTGATTGGGTCATGAAGGTTCCAACTTCATGAACAGGATTGATGCCATTATAAAAGATCCCTGATGGGCTCCTCCACCATTCGAGGACACATAGTAGGCATCACCTATGAGGAGTGGGCTCTCTACGGACACTGAGTCTGCTAACATCTTGATGTTGGACTTTCCAGCTTCCAGAACTATGAGCAGTAAATTTCTGTTGTTTATAAATTACCCGGTCTAAGATATGTTGCTACAGCAGCTAGAACAAACTAAGAAATTGATTCAAAGAAGTGGGGTGCTTCTCTAAGAAATGCCTAAAAATGTGGAGGCAGCTTTGGAACTGGGTAATAAGCAGAGACTGAAACGGTTTGCAGGTGCATGCTAAAAACAGCCTATATTACTGTGAGCAAAGCAGTAAGAGTGGATTTGGTGAGGGCTCAAAAGAAAAGGAGAGCTGTAGAGAAAGCCTCAGTCTTCTTAAAGTTTACCTAAGTGGTAGTGATGAGAATGTTGTAGAAATGTGAACAGTAAAGAACATTCTAATGAGGTCTTGGATGGAAATGAGGAACGTATTATTGAAAACTGGAGGAATCGTGATCCTTGTTACCAAGTGCCAAAGGATATGGCTGGATTGTATTCATGTCCTTGTGTTTTGGGGAAGGCAGGGCTTGTGGGTGATGAAATTGGATATTTGGTGAAAGTAACACCTAAGCCAAGTGTTCAGGGTGTGGTATGGCCTCTACTGACTGCTTATTGTAAAATGCAGGAAGGAAGAAATAATTTAAATATGAAATTTATAATCAAAAGGAAAGCAGGATCTAAAAATTTGGAGAATTCTAATTTTGTAAAAAATGAGAAAATGTGTTCAGGAGAGAACAACTAGGGTGTGGCCAAGCGAAAGTCTGATTGCAAGATTAGGATGGATAGAAGGAAGCCAGATGCTATTCATCAAGACAATGAAAGAGTGTCCCTGAAGGCATTTTGGAGATCTTTGGGTCTGCCCTGCTCATCACAGGCCCAGAATGCCAGGGCCATGGGGGAAGAATGATTCCAAGTATCCCCACCCTGAAATCCAATGCAGTGTTTATTGACCCAAGTGTGGCTGGAGCTGCACCTCCAGAGGACATAGGTGGTAAACCGTGGTGACCATCACATGGTGGTAATTATGCAGGTGCTCAGAATGCCTGAGCTGTGGAGGCATGGCTACCTCCACCTACACTTCAAAGGATGCCATGGAGAGCCTTGGGACTCAGGCAGTGAACTGCCACAGGTCCAGGGTCACTGCAGAGAGCCCCCACTAGGGTAGTACTTAGTCGAATTGTGGGTGCAGGGCCACCCCCATGACCCCAAACTTGTAGAATCATGGGTATGAGATTCCAGCGTGGGGAGAGCTACAGGCACCAGAGTCCAACCTCTGAGAGCTGTCATATGGGCTTTGCCCAGAAAAGACACGAGATCAGTGCCTGGATCCTTGGGGCCCATCCCCTGCCCCAGTGATTCCAGAAGGCAGGACATGGAGTCAAAGAAGACTGCTCTCAACCCTTAATATTTCATGGATTTCTTTGTCCTGTTGGATTTTAGACTTACTTGACTGTGTTAGGAAGTGGGGCATTTGGAAGGTGATTAGGTCATGAGGGCTCAGCCTTCATGAATGGGATTAGTGCCCTTATAAAAAATCCCCAAGGGAGTTTATTCAGTTCTGCATGTGAGGTTAAGAGTGAGAAGACAGCTGTCTATGAGGAAGTGGGTTCTTATCAGACACTGGATTTGCTGGTGCCTTGATCTTGGACTTTTCAGCCTCCAGAACTGTGAGAAATAAATTTCTGTGGTCTACAAATTACCCAGTCTAAGATATTTGGTTATAGCTGCCAAAACAGACTAAGACACACACTCTCATAGAAAATGCTATAGAAAAGACTAGGAAATGGTAACCAAATGTATGCAGTAAAAGAAAAAAAAACGAATAGGGAAAATAGTGTGATGAAAGTGTGTTTCAGGTAAATAAATCATGCTGCTTTTCTAGACTGTATATGTAAGCTTTTGTAAATTTGTAACTGTTGATTTCTTCTTACATTTAAAAGTTATATTTACTTTTATATTTATTTTTGTAATTACTATTCTATGTTCTTACTTGTTTTTCAGGGCAGAAGTGAAAATTTATTAAAAGCTTTAGAACAGTAAGGGAAGGGCAGGGAAGGAAGGAGGGAGGAAGGGAAGGAGGGAAGGAGAGAGGGAGGGAAGAAGGAACAAGGAAGGAAGGAAGGAAGGCAGGCAGGCAGGCTTGGAAGAGGGCCAACGGGTGACTTGAGAAAGCAAGTGCATTTGTTCTTGCTTTTTAAAGAGCTCGCAAATCTGTAGTAGCTTCTGGTTGATAGGGTTAAACATAAGTTTGCTGAAAGGATCAACGTATACATATGTACACATATTTTATAACATGTAGCATGGGATTAACATGTAGGATAATCATTAACTTTCAGATCCTTTTCTCGTTTTCTGTTTAGAGTATTACTTAGATAATGGGGTTTCCTTAACTTACTTGTCCCAGGAAGAATCTGGAAGATCTCTCAATGTGAATCTTTTAAGCATACCAAAGAAAAAAAAGGTTCCCTAATTCTGTAACAAAATCTGACAAACCTGTGTTATAATGTTTTGTGGTGAGATTTCTGGGATTTGGAAGTGTCTGAAATAATGGTACTGGAAATAAAGATGAAGAAGGGATTTCAAACATTTGTGGCTATGGACTACGTGGCAAATACTCAATAGATCTAAACAGTTTAGAAATCATTTTATCTTGTTATCTATTGTTTGTATTGTATACTGGAATAGGCTAGGTATGGGTCTGAACATTTTTGGAATAATCTAGAATACATTTATTCATTCAAATAAATATGTGTTTATTATATATAGACATCATCCCAGATGCTGGGAATACAGCGGTGAACAATCAGACCACGTATCTTCCTTCTTGGAGCTCATATTCAGGGAAGAAGATGGGCAATCAAGAAGGATTCCTTCTGTGGTGATCAGGGGCAGGGTTCAGGCTCAGCGGACTCAGATCCTTATGTGTAGCGTACTTGAAACATTCTTACATGACCATCCACATAATAAGCCATGTCTAGAGGATGTTTAGATAAAGATGCACACATTTTGTCATCAAAATCACAGTAGCAAACACAAAATCTTGCCTGGGCCAGTGAGGAATGACAGGAGGTGCAATATATACCTTTGCTTCACACCTGACTTCCTCCTGGACTCTTTACACCTTTGTAGATCCATGGTGCTATATAAAACACACGTCGGATCTTATGCAGAATATTAGCTTTCTTCCTATATTCAAAAATAAGTGAGACTCAAGTCCTGTGTCTCTCACCTTATCACTTTTCTCTGGATTATCTGAGAGGGAAATTGCAGTAGCACACCATTTATTGTAAGACTGAGATCAACTGCAAAGCCAAGCCTCCACTATCTGAAATACTGAGATAATATTATCATATGGTCATCTCCAGACCTGCACACGGGATAGTAGAAATACTAGTTGATGGAGAATGTGCCCTCTACCATGGCTTTTCTGGGCAGACTCAGAAAGTGTAGATAGTCATAAGAAAATTTCCTGACATCATTTGTCGTGGAAAAAGATGAGAGATAGAGGACAAATCTAATTTGTTCATTTGAGTTTCTTATATTATCCTCCCTCTTATAATGTACAATTCTACTGATGATATTATAATATATTATAATAATAAAGGTGCATGTATGTCATTAGTGAATCACAGGTGATGGAGAATATAATAATCTTTTACAAAATTACAGTTATTAGTGAGAAAATAATTCTTAAAAGTAATACATATGGAAAGTAATAGGAAGGAAGGAAGGAGAGAAGAAAGAAGAAGAAAGAAGGAAGGAAAGACAAAGAAAGAAAGAGAAAGAAAGGAAGGAAGGAAAGAAAGGAAAGAAAGAGAAAGAAAGAGGGAAAGAGAGGGAGGGAGGGAGGATGGGAGGAAGGTGAAATTTAGAAGAAAGAAATCTTGCTTAATAGAAAATTGAGAAAACGCAATTTACACATCAATGAGCCACCATGTTTTATCTTACAAACTGTTGAAGAATGTAAAACACGCACACACATACAGACAATGTTTTCTCTAGCTATGTGTAAAATGTGCCCCAAATTTAGTGGTGTAAAAGATGGATCATTTTATTATCATGCTCATGGATTCTGTGGGTCAGGTATTCAGAAAAGGCGCAGCAGGGACAGCTTCTCTCTGCTCCACAGTGTCCAGGTGCTCAGCTGGGAAGACTCATTCACTAGCAGGTCTGTTCGTTGCCAGTGAATGCATGTTTTCTGGAATCTCAGATTGGGCTGTCAACCAAACGCCTATATACAGCCTCTCCATGTGACTGTTCGGTTTTCTCACTACATGGTGGCTGTTTTCCAAAACCAAGTGTCCCAAGAAAAGTCAAATAGAAACTCTGTTTATGCTCTGGCCTTGGATGCAAGCCTGCATTGCTTTTGCTAGTCATGAGTCCCCCTAATATCATAAGGAGAGAAGATAGCCCTGACTTCTTTAGGGGAGCAGTGTCAAAGTCACATGGTAAGAAGAATGTAGGGACATTTTGCGGCCATTTTGGAAAATACAATCAGCCACAAACACTAATCATGAATTTTGATGAGGATTCAGGGAAATGAGAGGAATTACAATTTAGTACTGTCTGTCTGGGAAATGGATGTATTTAACAGAAGTCTTAAAATGGACATATCCTTTGACAAAATAATTCTAGGTTTTTAAGTACTAAATCTGAAATAAATTATTATGGTTGTTTTTATAAACTACACGTGCCATGGCTCAGCAGCCTATGAATAGTTTACTCTTATTTGATCATATCTGAATAATTGTAGCACAAACCTCCAAGCTTGAGAATGATGCTACAGCTTGAACGTTTCTGTTCCTCCAAAATTCATGTTGAAACTTCTTCCCCTATGCAATGGTATTAAGAGGTGGGGCCTTTAGCAAGTGGTTAGGTAACGAGGGTTCCTCCCTCATGAATGGTATTGAGGCCCATATGAGAGAGGCTTCACACTGGGTCAACCCTCTCTTGTTCTTTTGCCTTCTGCCATGTGAGGGCACAACCTTCCCCCTTTCTGCCACAGGTGGATGCGGCAACAAGGTGCCATCTTGGAAGCAGCGAACAGCCCTCATCAGACACCAAACCTGCTGCCACTTTGATCCTAAATGTGCCAGCCTCCAGATCTGTGAGGAAATACATTTCTGTTTAAAATGACGCAGTCTCATGTATTTGTTAGAGCAGCACAAATAGATGAAGACAGTTGGCCACAGGATTTAGCTCTGTTAAAATGTTCTTGTCCCCACTAATGTTTTCTGGAGGGTCCTAAAGGTATGTCCCACAGTGACCACAAGCCAATCTGTAAGCACAGTCCCCAGCAGCGCCCCACCATGTTCCTGTTCTTAGGTGCATTCAGTGAGGCACGCTTTAAACACTTGGTAATGATGAAGGTGGTACAATGAGTTGTTGCAATTATTTTCACTATGCCTTTCTGAACGTTCTAAATTTTCTATAGGGAATTCATTTGTAATCAGAAACATAGTTATTGAAAAGAAATGAGATTTTCGCTTCTGATCTTATCCTAATTTGTCAATGGCAAAAGATGTTTTGACTTTGTACTTTATAATGCTCTTGCCAGAGGAAATCATATATGGATAGATGAGATAGTTGGATGGATAGATAGACAGGTACAGATATTTACCTTATAAATAAATCTATATAGCTTTCTTTACATCAACCTATGTAGACTTATTACCTAATCATATGTGTGTGTATATTTGTGTATATGTATATATATGTGTGTATATGTATATGACACATATATCTTTCTTTTTTTTAATTATACTTTAAGTTCTAGGGTACATGTGCACAACGTGCAGGTTACATATGTATACACGTGCCACGTTGGTGTGCTGCACCCATTAACTCGTCATTTACATTAGGTATATCTCCTAATGCTATCCCTCCCCCCTTCCCCCACCCCACAACAGGCCCCGGTGTGTGATGTTCCCCTTCCTGTGTCCAAGTGTTCTCATTGTTTAATGCCCACCTATGAGTGAGAACACGCAGTGTTTGGTTTTTGTCCTTGCAATAGTTTGCTGAGAATGATGGTTTCCAGCTTCATCCATGTCCCTGCAAAGGACATGAACTCATCCTTTTTTATATATGTGCCACATTTTCTTAATCCAGTCTATCATTGTTGGACATTTGGGTTGGTTCCAAGTCTTTGCTATTGCAAGTAGTGCCACATAAACACACGTGTGCATGTGTCTTTATAGCAGCATGATTTATATTCCTTTGGGTATATACCCAGTAATGGGATGGCTGGGTCAAATGGTATTTCTAGTTCTAGATCCCTGAGGAATCGTCACACTGACTTCCACAATGGTTGAACTGGTTTACAGTCCCACCAACAGTGTAAAAGTGTTCCTATTTCTCCACATCCTCTCCAGCACCTGTTGTTTCCTGACTTTTTAATGATTGCCATTCTAACTGGTGTGAGATGGTATCTCATTGTGGTTTAGATTTGCATTTCTCTGGTGGCCAGTGATGATGAGCGTTTTTTCATGTGTCTGTTGGCTGCATAAATGTCTTCTTTTGAGAAGTGTCTGTTCATATCCTTTGCCCACTTTTTGATGGGGTGGTTTGTTTTTTTCTTGTAAATTTGTTTGAGTTCTTTGTAGATTGTGGATATTAGCCCTTTGTCAGATGAGTAGATTGCAAAAATTTTCTCCCATTCTGTAGGTTGCCTGTTCACTCTGATGGTAGTTTCTTTTGCTGTGCAGAAGCTCTTTAGTTCAATTAGATCCCATTTGCGAATTTTGGCTTTTGTTACCATTGCTTTCGGTGCTTTAGATATGAAGTCCTTGCCCATGTCTATGTTCTGAATGGTATTGCCTAGGTTTTCTTCTAGCGTTGTGACACATATATCTTTCTAACTGATCCCCCTCACAACAGTCTTGTCCATTTCAACCTGTGTTTCAGACCATATCCAGCCAGAAAAAGTGTTCTGAAAATGCAAGTTTGATCACATCATGTCCCTGTTTAAAGTCGTTCATTACTGCTGGGATGCAGAGCACCTTTCCTCCACAGCCCGCATTCTCTGCTAGAATCTGCTCCCGACTTGCCACTTCCCTCCTACCTCTTCCCACCACCTGCACTGCCACAAACCACCCAATATGCGTGTAGAATGGCTGTCTTTTGGAAATAATTTGTGCTTTAAAAATTCCTGCACTTTTTCAGTCTCTAGATGTACTTCACTTGGTCCATACTACATTTTAAAAGTAATTTTCTTTGTTGCTGATGTTAATAAATTGGGAAATATTACATTAAAAAATAACTATCGTTTAGATTTCCTTAGAATCTGATACGTTGGCTTTGCATTGCCAGGGCCTCCTTGGGATAGGCATGGGATTTACAGATTACAACAATGGTCATCACTCCTAATGGCCCCTTACCAACTCATGCCACTAACACACACAACATTCCTAACCCCATACACGTAGACGTTTATGACCCTGCCAAAAGTGAGAATTATTCTCCCTGAATTTTCACCTGAATGTTTGGCGTTATTTAGAAGAAATGTAAATGTCTCATTTTCTCTTGGTTAAGAAAGAATTAAAATCAGTTTCTCAATCCTAAGAAACTGTGATGTTTATAAAAGAAATTTAATGTTTTCTTTACTCATTATTTTCAGTACTTCTTACAGCCTTTCAAGCTCCACTTTTCAATTGAGCACTTTGTTGCTTGCATTGCTTACTAATTTTCTCATAATGTTAGTTCTGATCCTCCCTCCAGACTCAAAACTCATTGACAGCAGGAGCCATGTCAGGATACTTATACTTAGAAAAGCTCTCAATAAATATTGGTTGATGAAGTGATAGAATGTATCATTCTAGCACAGGAAGGTATCCTGGAAGAATGGTAGCCTGGTCATTGACAAGGCTCATTTAGGACAAGTCAGTCTTTCCTACACAGCTCTTCAGGAAAGCCCGTTATCTACTCCCATAAAGCAAGAGAGAGAAAAATAAGGTTTTATATGTTGGAACCTAAATCTTTCTTCCTACATTCATTTTCAACCTAGAAGCTTCTCAAGATAAAAATAGCACCATAGATTCTCTCCTTCCATGGGGAAAAAAACCCAAGTGAAAAACTCTCCGTGGGTTCAGCGCTACCTGTCTCTGATGTCACCATGATTTGCATGCCAAAGGGAAGCCTGCAGGCAGAGTGGCCCTCTCTGGGGATGGGTGCAGCCCAGAACTGGAAACTGACAGGTCTTGGTGAGGATGCAGAGAAGGCTGGCTCTGCAATACCGCTGGCACTGTCCGCAGGCTCTGTGGAAGCTGGAGATCCCCGGGGCAGGCAAGGAGCCTGAGGTCAGGAAGGCTGCCATTTGTAAAACCAAAGTCACGAGGGAGCTGAGTTCCTGCTTTAGGAAAATTAACTGGTTGAGGAGATAACAGTCAGAATAATTAAATGCTTCTGCTATGTGCCTTACTTCCCAACTGACAGAAAGCATTGTAATTTTAGAATCATTTTCTTCTCTCAGATGAAGATATGTTTAAGAGCGAGGTGACAGTTTTCACATGGATGCACAGATTTCTAAAGACAACATCTTTACAGCTATCATTTGTGAAAAATGTATTTGTCAGATTACAGGTAACTAAATTAGTAAGGAGGCACCTGACCTCAGAAAAGAATGTAAATGACAGTTTCCAGTGTGAAATCGTTCTCACTGGGACAAGGATATCTTCCTTTTCTCTTTGGCTTGAATGAACATACTGGCCAATAGCAACACATTTATTACTTATGAGTGAAGTAAAGGCCTGCCAAGATTCAAAGCAAGCAAACGAGGAAAATGACAGGACAACAGACAGATATTTTAGTGATCTTTGTTCATAGGTGAGGAGTTGTATAAATTCCATGAATAATCCAAATATTAAAAATAAACTAATTACATGTGTGACTAAATGATGAAATAAACTAAATTTTCTCCTTCTAGAATAACTTTTCTAAACAGATACCTTCACAGACTGACATATATATGGGTGTATCGTCTCCTTCTCACATAAAGGCTACATTAATACATTTATATTTGTGTGGCTTTGTGAGAAAAATAAGTGTATCAAATGGCAGGTGGTAGCAAAGAGAGAAAGTGAAGAAAGGGGCTGGGCACAGTGGCTCACGCCTGTAATCCCAACACTTTAGGAGGCCGAGGCGGGTGGATCATGAGGTCAGGAGATTGAGACCTTCCTGGCTAACACGGTGAAACCCCGTCTCTACTAAAAATACCAAAAAAAAAAAAAAAATAGCGGGGTGTGGTGGTGGGCGCCTGTAGTCCCAGCTACTCTGGAGGCTGAGGCCGGAGAATGGCGTGAACCCGGCAGGCGGAGTTTGCAGTGAGCTGAGATCGTGCCACTGAACTCCAGCCTGGGCGATAGAGCGAGACCACGTCTCAAAAAAACAAAAAACAAACAAACAAAACCTCTGAGGCCGGGCTCAGTGGCTCACGCATGTAATCCCAGCACTTTCGAGGGCCGAGGCGGGCAGATCACGAGGTTAGGAGATCGAGACCATCCTGGCTAACACGGTGAAACCCCGTCTCTACTAAAAATACAAAAAAATTGGCCGGGCATGGTGGCGGGCGCCTGTAGTCCCAGCTACTCCGGAGGCTGAGGCAGGGGAATGGCGTGAACCCGGGAGGCGGAGCTTGCACAGTGAGCCGAGATCACGCCACTACACTCCAGCCCGGGCGACAGAGCGAGACTCTCACAAAAAAAAAAAAAAAAGAAAGGAAAAGAGAAAAGAAAAGAAGAAAAGAAAACCCCTGAGAGAATTATTTTATTTAGAATCAGGAATTGTGATGCTTCACTTCAGCAATTTATTTGCTTGTCTCATGCTGACACAGAAATGTGTGATCAGCTGTGTTTCTGACTTATCCTTAGCAAACATTAAACTCAATCTCTGTCCTTTGGTATGTTATAGTCAAACAAAGCCAATGAAACATACATACTAAATAGTACAATACTATTAAAAAATAGGCTGGACATGCTGGCTCACACCTGTAATCTGAACAGTTTGGGAGGCTGAGCCAGGAGGATCGCTTGAGGCTAGGAGTTTGGGACCACCGTGGGCAACATAGTGAGACCTCATCTCTAAAAAAAAATTAGCCAGGTGAGGTGGCATGCAGCTGTAGTCCAAGCTACTTAGGAGGCTGAGGTGGGAGGATTGCTTGAGTCCAGGAGATCAAGCTTACAGTGAACTATGATCATGCCACTACACTTCAGCCTTGGCAACAGAGTGACACCTTATCTCTAAAAAAATAAAAATAAATACAGTGATGGCGATGACCACTATGGGAGATTTTAACTGGAGGAATTTCTTGTGGAAAATCATTAAAAACGGCTAACATTTAAAAGACATACAAGTTTCTAAAAGACAGTATTAATGTTCTCTGTGCACATTAGGATATAAAGTCCTGGGTACTGCAGGACATTTAGTAAACTATTCAATGAAACACCTTAAATGTCAAGCACAGGGATTTGGAAATAGAGAGCTATTGGTTTGTGAGGAAAATATTGCATTATAAGAACGTTATAGGAATACATATACATACATATATGTATACATACATATATATATTCCTACAATATCTTTTTCAGATAATAAAATAGAATAGAATGAGACATTATATATTATATGTTCATTATATATACATATATTATATATTTGTGTATCTGTGTAATGTCTCACAGTCCATTCTTTTTTATCTGAATTTTTATGTTTTAAATTTAGCGATCTTTAACTCACTAATCTTGTATTTCAATGTGTCCAAATAACTTTTAAACCCATCCCAATGGGTTCTTAATAAGTTTTTAAAATTTCTTTTTAGTTGATGCATAAGAATTGTGTATATTTATGGGGTACAATGTGATGTTTTGATGCTGACTTTGTAAAATGAGTTTAGATGTACTTCTTCAATTTTTTGAAATAGTTTGAGGAGGGTATTAGTTCTATAAATCTTGGTAGAATTCTGCTGTGAAGGCATCTGTTCCAGAGCTTTTCTGGGAGATTTTGTTATTATTATTATTAATTCAATCTCCTTATTCCTTATTCATCTGTTCAAATTTTCCATTTTGTTTTTATTCAGTCTTCGTAGGTTGTATATGTCTAAGAACTTTCTTGTTTTTCCTGGGTTATCCAACTTGGTGTGTAACTCTAATTATTCATAGTAGTCTCATGATATTTTATATTTCTGTGGTAATATTTGTAATATCTTCTCTTTCATTTCTGATTTTGAGTCTTTTTTCTTTTGTGTTTAGTCTTGCTAAAAGTTTGTCCATTTAGTCTATCTTTTCAAAGAACCACTTGTAGCTTAATTCATCTACTATATTGTCTTTCTTGTCTCTATTTCATTTATTTCTGCTCTGATATTTATTATTTCCATATTTCTACTGACTTTAGACTTAGTTTGTTCTTCTTTTTCTAGTTTTTTTGAGGCGTAATATTATTTATTTTTGATCTTTCTTTTTTGACGTATAAACTTCAATTTTAGAACTAGTTTTGCTGCATCCCATAACTTATGGTATCTTGTGTTTCCATTTTCATTTGTCTTAAAATATTTTTTAATTTTACTTTTAATTTTTTTCTTTGACCCATTGGTTGTGGTGAGCATGTTGTTTAAGTTCCATGTATTTATGAATTTTCCAAGACTTTTCCTGTTACTGATTTCTACTTTTATTCATTTGTGGACAGAAAAGATAGGTGATATGATTTCAAGCTTCTTAAATTTGTTAAAACTTGTTTGTGGCCTAAAATGTGATCTCTCCTGGAGAACGTTTCTTGTGCACTTTAGAAGAATGTGTACCCTACTGCTGCTGGATGGAATTTTCTGTATTTGTCTGTTCGGTCGATCTATGGTCTATTTGGCCTAAAGCGTTGTCCAAATCCATTATTTCCCTACCGATTTTCTGTCTAGATAATTTATCCATTGTTGAAAGTGGGAGTCTTGAATTCATCTATTATTATTTTCTTGCAGTGTATCTTATACTTCAGATCTATTAATATTTTCTGTCTAGATAATTGATTCATTATTGAAAGTAGGAGTCTTGAATTCATCTATTATTATTTTCTTGCAGCGTATCTCATACTTCAGATCTATCAATATTTGCTTTACATGTTTTGGTGCTCTGATACTGGGTGCATACATCCTTAAAATTCTTATATCCTCTCGATGAATTAGCCTCTTTATCATAATATGGTGACCTTCTTTGTCTTTTCTTACAGTTTTGACTTAATGTTTATTTTGTCTGATATAAGTATAGCCACCTCCATTTTCTTGTGGTTATCATTTGCCTGGAATATCCTTTTTATTATTATTATTTCCTACCTCTCAGTTTATGTGTGCCCTTAAGGCTAAAGTGAATCTCTTGTAGGGAGCATATTATTCAATCTTGTCTTTTTATTCATTCAGCTACTCTATCTCTTTTGATTACAGAATTTAATCCATCTACATTTAAAGTAGTTATTGACAGGTAAGAACTTACTACTGCCATCTTGCTAATTTTTTTTTTAGTTTTGTAGTTATCTTGTTCCACTCTTCCAATCTTGCTGCCTTTTTGTGTGATTTTTGTAGTGATATGCTTTGATTCCTTTCTCTTTTGTGTTCTACTAGAGTTTTTTTTTCTTTGTGGTTACCATGAAGTTTGAATTAAAATATCTTATAGTTATAATGCCCTAATTTAAGCTAATAGTATTTTATCTTCTATTGCATACAAAGAATCTACACTTTTATTTCTCTCGAAATTTTATGCTATTGGTCCATTCTTTACGTCTATTTATATTGTGTATCTGTAAACTAATTGTTTATAGTTATAGTTGCTTTTAATAGTTTTCTTTTAATTCTTATACTAAAATTAAGAGTGATTTACATACCACCTTTACAGTAATAGAGTATGCTGAATTTGACTATATATTTACCTTTACCAGTGAATTTTATACATTAATATGTTTTCACGTAGTTACTTATTATCTTTTTTTTTTTTGACAAAAAAATCTTGCTCTGTCACCCAGGCTGGAGTGCAGTGGTACAACTTCCACCTCCCAGGTTCCAGCAATTCTCCTGCCTCAGCCTCCCAAGTAGCTGGGACTACAGGCATGCGCCACCATGCCCAGCTAATTTTTACATTTTTTAGTAGAAACCATATTGACCAAGCTGGTCTCGAACTCCTGACCTTGTGTTCAGCCTGCCTTGGCCTCCCAAAGTGCTGGGATTACAGGCGTGAGCCACCCCACCCAGCCTATCTTTCTATTTCAATTCAAATAACTCTCTTAAGCATTCTTGTAAGGCCAGTCTCCTGGTGATGAACTCCCTCAGCTTGTTTGTCTTTGAATATCATTGTCTCTCCTTCATTTATGGAGGACAGCTTTACTGGGCAAAATACTCTTGATTGGTTTTCTTTTAGAATTTTGTGTATGTCACTTTACCCTCTCCTTGGTTGCAAGCTTTCTGTTGAGAAGTCTACTGATAGCCTTATGGAATATTCTTTCTATGTGACAAGTTTCTTCTCTCTTCCTTTATTCAAGAGTCTCTTTTCTGTCTTTCTTGATTTTTGACAATTTGATTATAATGTGTCTCAAAGTCTTCCTTTTTTAAAATTGATCTTGCTAGGACAGCTTTGACCTTCCTGAAACTGTATATTCATATCACTCCCAAGATTTGGGAAGTTTTCAGGCAGTATTTATTTAAATAAGCTTTCTACCTCTTTGTCTCTTTCTTCTCTTTATGGTATTCCAGTAGTTTGTATGCGGTTGATCTTTTATATTTGCTTGTTCTGCATCCATGGATTCAAGCTACCACTGATGGAAAATATTTTTAAAAAACAATAAAAATAACAATACAACAATAAAAATAATACTAGAAAACAATACAGTATAATAACTATATAACTTTTACATTGTATTAAGTACTATAAGTAATGGAGAGATTATTTAAAGCATATTGTGAGGGTATGCATAGGTTATGTGCAAATACTATGCCATTTTATATATGGGACTTGAGTGTTAGCAGATTTTTATATTTATGAGGGGTTCTGGAACCAATTTCCTGTGGATACCAAGGGATGCCTATATTCATGTTTGGTGGTTCTTATGCTTTCTTCACTTTTTTTCATTATTTTTTATTGCTCTAATTGGTTAATTTCAAGTGACCTACTTTTGGGTTCACTAATTCTTTCTTCTGCATGATCAAGTCCACTGTTAGAACTCAGTTTTTCAGTTCTTTCATATTATTCATCTGCTCTAGGGCGTCTGTTGAGTTTTTTTATGGTTCCTATTTCTATATTAAACTTCTTTATTTGTTCATTTAATATTTGTATAATTTTACTTAGTTGTCTATGTGTATTTTCTTGCATCTCATTGAGCTTCTTTAGGATAATTCTTTTGAATTATTTTTCAGACAATCCACACATCTCCATTTCTTTGGAGTCACTTATTGAAGTTTTATTAGTTTCCTTTGGTGGTATAATGTTTGTGTGATTATTTGTTATCTGTGTAGCTTTGCATTGATGTCTATACGCTGAAAGGAGCAAACTCATCTCTCAGGCTTTACAGACTGGATTTGCCAAGTTAAAATCCTCTCCTATTAGGTCTTTGGATTAAGGAGATTGCCTCTGGGATTGCAGTAGGCAGTAGAGTGGTATTAGATCCAGGTCATGTGGCTGATATTGGGTCTGCAGTAGACACCATAATCAACAGGCCTCTTTCCAGGGGTTCTCTTGGGCATGAGTTCTATCTGGTCCCTGGGTGAACTGGACCATCTCTAAGATCTTAGTATGTGGAGCTGATATTGATATGATGTACTGCTTCAGAATTTACCCAGTATGCTGATGAGTGTGGCCTTTTCTGAGTCTCTGAGAGAGCTTCCATTGGATCACTGGTTGGATGATCTGCCCTGGGCTGGTTGTACTGCCCTGGTCCATGATTTGAGATGGCTGGAATTAAGATTCAAGGTTGTTTCAGGGCCCACAGCTGAGACTGAGAAGTTCAGGCCAGTCTCCAGGATCATAACTAAGCGTATATCCTGGTAGGTTTCTGGGTTAGCAGTCTTATTTTTAGACTGTAATTGAGAAAGATTGGAGCCAATTTTTAAGGGTTATTCAAGATCCATAATGGGACCAAAGTCAGGGCATTACCTATAGGGGCACTGCTAGACGTGTCTCCCTCTGGGTCCCCAAGCAAGCAGAACTGTTATCAATCTCTACACAAAAGGGGCATAAGATCCAGGGTCATTTGAGGATCCACTTTGGGACAAAGTTTGGCAAGCCTCCCATGGACACTCAGATGGGCATGTCTCCCACTAGAATCCTAGCTGGGCAGAACTGCTTCCAGACCACAGCTGGGAGGGGCTAATTAACTCAAGCTTCAGGGCTAATTCACAATATGCTGTAAGAATTATGTTGGCAAGCCTGACCTGGTGGCATGGGTGGGTGATATTCCCAGCCAGTTCCCTAATCAGACAGAATTGTTCCCAGACCACGGCTGAGATGAGGCTGGAGCTGAGATTCAGAACCCATTTGGGAACTGTTATGGGATGGAGAATGGCAAGCCCATCCAGGTGCATCTCCCAAGAGTTCCAAGCAGTACTAAACTAGGAGCATAGCTGAGGGGGTGTTGGAGCTGAGTTACAGGATATCTTTTGGGTTTAATGCTGAGACCAATGTTGGCAGCCCTGTCTGCCCAGACACTAGTGTGCATGATTCCCCCTAGGCCCATTGGCAGATAGTTTCAGTAGCAGGGTCAAGGCCAAATAGGGCTGGAGCCAAACCCTTCAAAGAACAAACATTTCTGGATCTAAACCTTGGAGCATGGTGAATGCATCTGCCATGTGGGTGCAGGTCTGCACTCTCAAAATGACACTCCTAGGTTTTGAGCTACTCTAGGATTTCACAACCTCCTGCCTGAATCCCAAGGCTCCCACAAAGAGATTTTTGTTTACGGATGGGGTGTAGAATTCTTGTTGTCATCGGGGAAAGGAGGGGGAGACCTCCTGTTTTGCTATCTTACTCGTGTCCCCAAGGTCTTAGTGAGTTCCTAATATCATATATTTTATTTTTTAGTTTATAGTATCCTTTCAATTACTTTTAATAAGTTCTCATTCTTTGTTGAAAATCCTCTGAATTTTTATATATTTTTACATTCTTTCTTCTGTTTTCTGAATGTACCCAACAGTTACTTTAAATTCATTGTCAATTAATACAGTAGTTGGATCACAAGTTGCTCTTGTGTTCTTCCCTGTTATTTATGGCTTATGCCATCTTATTCTTGATGTAGTGGATTTATTGTACTCAAGTCCCTGAGTTTTACCCCTCCCTCTGTCCTCACACTTCGCCTTTTAACTTCCCAGTTTCCTTCCCCTGGGCAGAGTGTTCTGCCACTTAAATCTAGGAGTAGCCACACGGCTGGCTTTGGCCATGTTAGCAAAATGGCACAAGCAGAGGCTTGAAAAAGTGCCTGTATGTTTCTTCTTGCCCTTTTGCTCCTCTGTCCTTGTCACAAGAATAGGGACACATGAGCTTGCTGGGGAATGAGCACAAGGAGCAGAGCCAAACCCACCAGTTTATTCCAGCCAAGTCAAACATCTCTTGGTCAACTGACAGTCAGGGGAGACTCTGAAAACTGCCCATTTGAGGTTAGTCCAACTCATTGACTCTAGAACTCATGACTTATGTAATTATTGTGTGGCCTTAAAGCTGAGTAGTTTTCCTTTTTTTTTTTTTTCTGGTACATAGCATTATTGTGACAATATAAAACTGATACTTTAATATATTCATTACATTTTAGTTGTGTGCTAGATATGGTTTTTTGTTTTGTTTTGTTTTTGTTTTGTTTTGTTTATGAGACGGAGTCTCACTGTTGCCCAGGCTGGAGTGCAGTGGCGCGATCTCGGCTCACTGCAGGCTCCGCCCCCCGGGGTTCACGCCATGCTCCTGCCTCAGCCTCCCTAGTAGCTGGGACTACAGGCACCCGCCACCTCGCCCGGCTAATTTTTTGTATTTTTAGTAGAGACGGGGTTTCACTGTGTTAGCCAGGATGGTCTCGATCTCCTGACCTCGTGATCCCCCCGCCTCGGCCTCCCAAAGTGCTGGGATTACAGACGTGAGCCACCGCGCCCGGCCCGATATGGTTTATTTTTTAAAAATTAGAAGCTTCAGATGATAATGTCTACAAGAGAGAATCAACACTTTGCTAATCAAAGGCTAGGGGCTCATTATCTTGTTTGTTATGAACTTAGCTGGATCAAGGCTGGGTTAAAGCTTCATTAAAACTTCGTCTAACTCTGGTTAGTTCCTGTACCCAAGAACATGGATTCCAAGGGTTTATTTGAAATCACGATGTCTTCGGCTCCTCAGTACCCAGAAATCTGGAATTTTAGCTTTGCTTCTCAGCGAAATCAGACATCTCTTAGTCAACTACCAGTCAAGGGAGACTCTGAAAACTGCCCATTTGAGGTTAGTCCAACTCGTTGACTCTAGAACTTATGGCTTATGTAATTATTGTGTGGCCTTAGAGCTCAGTAGTTTGTTTTTTGTTTTTCTTTTTTTTTTTTTTGAGATCGATAGGCTTCCTCCATGAACAGCTTCAGAATGTGGCCAATGCCTTAAAGGAGAGGCCTGCTGGGAATTTAAAGCCCTTCAAATCTCTAATTTTGTCAAGTCTAGCCACCAATGGTTCTGTTGTTTCTATCTCCCCGAAAAGGGCTCCTCTAGAGTTAAATCATCTAGCTGTGTCCATATCAGCAGAGCCTCCAGGATATAAACAATTGGGAGATTTTCATTTTTTTAAGTTTTATTTTACTTTTAATTGACAAATAATAATTGCATATATTTGTGGGGTACAAATTGATATTTTGATAGATGCAAGCATTGTAGAATGACCAAATCAGGGTAATTAGCATATCCTTAACCTCAAATATTTGTGTTTTCTTTGCAGTGAGAACGTTTAAAATGATCTGTTTTCGCTATAAATGTACAATACATTCTTATCAAATATAGTCACGTTATTCTGCAAGAGAACACGAGAATTTCTTCCTCCAACTAACTATAGCTTTGTACCCATTGACCAGCATCTCCCCTTCCTCCATCTACCTCCCACTTCCTGCATCTGGTAACCACTTGCTACTTGCTATTTCTGTGAATTCAACTCTTTTAGATTTCACATACAAGTGAGATCATGAGGTTTCACTTTTCATTCAACACTCATTATTGTTCTTAGAGTGTCCTCCTGGAAGACCTTTGTCTACTAAGCATTTTGAAGCTTCACATTATGGAGCTATTACAGCTTGGCTTTTTAGCCACCCCAGAGGGCCTCAGGCCCAGGCAGAGGACTGTTGTAGGGGTGGGGTCACTGCAGAGAACCCAACTAGGGCAATTTACAGTGGTGCTTTGGGGACAGAACCACCTCAAAGAGCTCCAACTAGGGCAATGTCTGGTGGAACCATGGGCCCAGGGTCACCTCCTTGATTTGTGGGGCCACTGGTGTGCAACTCATGGGCTGTGCCTAAATGCCATGAGGTGTGGCCACTCAGAGTTTTGGGAGTCTAAACCCTCAGCCAATTCTTTCAGAACATGAGACATGGAGTCAAATAAGTTTATTCTCAAGCCTTAATAATTAATGTTCGCCCAACAGGGTTTTGAATTTATTTGGGACTATTAATAGTTACCCCTTTCTTCCTTCCTATGTATCCCTTTTAGAATGGGAATCTCCATCCTATGCCTGTCTCACTGTTGTATTTTGGAAGCACATAACTTGTTTGATTTCATAAGCTCCCAGCTTGAGACAAATTTGCCTCAGGATGAATCATTTCTTGAATCTTATCTGTATCTGATTTAGATGACATTTAGATGAGACTCTGGACTTCTTTAGACTTTTGAGCTGATACTGGCTATTGTGATGGAATGAATACATTTTGCATGTGAGAAGGACACAAATTTTGGAAAGCTAGGAGTGGAATGGTATGGTCTGAACATTGGTTTCACCCCCAAAACTCATATACTGAAACTTAATTTCCAATATAGTGGTATTAAGAGGTGGGTCCTTTAAGAGGTGATTAAATCATGAGGGGTCCTCCCTTGTGACTGGAATTAGTGTCCTTATATACAAGACCTAAGGGAACTTATTCACTCATTCCGCCATGTTGGGACACATAGAAGGTGCCTCTGTGACAAACTAGGCCCTCACCAGGCCCTGAATCTGCCAGCACCTTGATCTTGGACTTCCAAGACTCCAGAACTATCAACAAAAAAGGCTCCTGTTTGTAAATTACCCAGTCTCAAATATATTGTCATAGCAACCCAAATGGACTTAGACACATGTATTTAGCTAATACAACAATAACAGTGTGTGGGGAAAACAGCTTAATAAGTAATAAATTGAAAGATAAAATATTTGGTTAATTCTTTTCCTAAGTATGAAAAACAAATGCACTGGCTCCCATTGTTCAGGTCCAATTTCCTCTCCATGGGTTTTGTAAACTCTCTGTAAAACATTGACAATTGATGGAAGTTAAGAAAGCAAAAAACACATTTTTTTATTTAGAAACAAAAATCTCATACTATTTGAACAATATTATTCATTAGATTTCCTCCTTGCATCTTAAATCGCATCCTGCATGCCATTACCATCGAGTACTGAAGCTATGTCATGGTTTTGTTGATTGTTATTTTTTTCGGTCTTGGATTCTACTTTTGCAATGAACCCCTAGCTTAGGTAACATCAATCTGATATCACTGGGTTTTGTGGTAAAACTATACTATATAATCTTTCCTTTTAAATGCTGACATCTTTTCACAAAGAAACCAAAAGTTCAATTTCATCCTTAAGACATTAGGCAAAAACCTGGACCAATGACATATGATAAATGTTCAGAATCTCGAAGGAAAATGTTTGCTTTGATTTTTAGCAGTTTAATTAGGCTGCATTGACAGGGAGGCAATGGGTATAGTACAAAGGGTTTGGAATCTGAAGATTCGTTTCTGAGTCTGGAGTCTGTAGGCCTGGACACATTTTATGACCTTGTAAAACTGGAGTTTCCTCAACTGGAAAATGAAAGTTATGAAGTTGTGATGGGAAAATTTAAGATAATAAAAACAAAAACATGCTATAAAAATGTGTAAGTTATTAATTAAAATATTTAAAAAATGCCCAATTCCCTAGTGCAAAAAGAACTAATTTGGTGAAACACTGTCCTTTATGTACCACAGAAAATCCTGAGCTGAGGGGCTTCCCCGTTGGATGGGACCAGGATGTGGAGCTTCATTCAGAGGAGGGAAAGTTCACAACGTAGTTGACAGTGTCAGCCCATTATGAAGTATTTAGAAACCGTCTATCACCAAAGAGGGATTGTAATTTTAGAACTTTTCAGAAACATAATTTCTTAGTACAACTTTGCAAGAAAATAAGCTTAAACAACAAAAGAATGTAAAATACCTCATCCAGCACAGCAAAGGCAACCCTGTGACTTGCTGACTCAGAAGTACTCGTGCTACTTTATGAGACACATGTGAGTTACGTAGATTTATAAAATACTAATACTTTGAATAAATAGGGACATAAACATCCCTGCAGAATTGTGGAATATGACATATTTTAAAACACAGCTTTCGCCTGCGACTGTAAAACATGCATAAATTAGGTTGGAAACCGGGGCCCTGCGCAGTGGCTCACGCCTGTAATCCCACGCTTTGGGAGGCTGAGGCGGGCGGATCACAAGGTCAGGAGATCGAGACCATCCTGGCTAACACAGTGAAACCCCGTCTCTACTAAAAATACAAAAAAAATTAGTGGGGCATGGTGGCGGGCACCTGTAGTCCCAGCTACTAGGGAGGCTGAGGCAGGAGAATGGTGTGAACCCAGGAGGCAAAGCTTGCAGTGAGCCAAGATTGCACCACTGCTCTCCAGCCTGGGCAACAGAGCGAAACTGCATCTCAAAAAAAAAAAAAAAAAAAAAATTAGGTTGGAAACCTTGAGGCGGTGGTGAGTGTTTTGAAACATTAGAGATTGCACATTTACAAATCCACCATCTATAATGTGATTTTGAGTGAATATGTAGTTTAAATATATAATTATACTTATTTCCTTGCACATGCAACACCCAGTTCAACAAATATTTATTTTCTGGGACCTGGAGAGTTAAGATGAAAACTACCTTGATCATGACATGTAAGAGTTTAAAGCCCCAGTGGGATGTGAACATCTAAATAGATAGTTCTAATTACTGTGATGGGAAATTAGGATCCTGTATGATGAGCTCAGCCTACAGAGAAGAGGAGCACCTCTCCTGAATGGCCTAGAGAGAACAGTCTGTAGAAGTGAAGGTGTAACAATATGCGTCTCTGGTGAAAGGATTCTGGAATTTGAGATATAAAAAGGGGTTTGGCCTGGCAAGGGGGTACAGAGAGAAGTTTTGAGTTACACAACTGCAGTTTATTAGAAATAGAAGGGTAAAAGATAACCGTACACAGGCAGAAACCAAAACACAAATGTTTATGTCTAAACAAACTGTTTAGAAACTTGTGCATGAAAGTTGATATGTGCTTTATTCATAATAGCTGAAAACTGGAAATAACCCAAATGTCCATCATCGGGTAAATGAATAAACACATTGTGTTATGTCTGTGCAGTGGAATACTATTCAGCCTGAAAAGGAATTATCTGTTGAAACGTTCAATGACTTCAATGAGACTAAAAATAGTTTTGTTGAGTTAAATGAGCTAAACACAAAAGATAGCATACTACATGGCTCCATATACATAAGGTTGTAGACAAACAAATCTATAGGTTCAGAAAGTAGACCTGTGGTTGTCTCTGAACAGGAAAGTGAGAGGTGTGAAGTAGGGGAAAGGGAAGGACCCTACAGGGCTCAAGGAAACCTTTGGTGTTGATGGGTATGTTCATTATCTTCACTGCAGTGATAGCTTCTTGGGTGTACCCTTATAGCAAAATTCATCAAACTGCAAGACTTAAATATGTATGGTTTATTGTATCTAAATTTTACTTCAAGGCTGAAACAAGTTTTAAGCAATAGAGATTGTTAAAATGATTTAAGCAGTAAAGTGGTATGGGAAGTTTTAGATTTCAGAAGTTAATGATGTTTTTCTCGTTTCTGGCTTGGGCAATGAAGACTGGGCAAATGGTAATGGTTATAAACCTATTCTCTTCCTGTCTATAGTTTATCCAGAAATGAAGCTAATTCAATGCAGGGCTACCTGTTTTTATTAGAGGTTAATTTTCCAATTTAGCTATAAATAGGGAAACTGCAGGCTAGTGTTAGGATAGGCTTAATGTTTCACCAAAATGAGATCTATTGGTTTATGTCTCCATATGTTGCCTTGTTCTTGTCTGCCACTGTGAACATCATAACCTTCGGTGGCTCTAACAACTTACAACACTGTGTCAGGACTGTGGAGGAATGAGGGACTCCATCTAAGGCACCATCCAAGTCATTAGAGGTCATTGTCCAGTTAGCTCATAAATATTCCTTCCTGTCTTAAAAGGAGCAAAAAATAGTGACATTCATTGACTATTTACTGATGGCATTACATCCCTTCATCTTCACCACCCTATGAAGCATGTACCTTTATTATCCCTATTTTATACAAGAGGAAACAGACTTAAAGATGTTTAGTCATTGGTTCTAGTTCATGTCTAGATGATGTTGACCTGATTTGAGCCTGGCAATGTGATTCTCAAGCACATATGATTTCCCTAACTTTTCCTGCCCAGTATTTCTATATCCCAACAATTTTCTTCAAGAAATGGTCATTTGTGGGTATTGTAGTAAAAGAACTTAATGCCTTTATATATTTAGCTTCTATAAACAAAGCAAGTGACACCCAGGAAGGAAAAGTGCCCAAATCATAGGTGAATTAGAGTAGAACTGGGCCTAGGATTTCAAAATCCTGCCATGTTTTATCCAACTCATTCCTCTGCGCTTTGAAGCAAGAGCAGTGATGATGTCATGACCTGGTGTCTGCACAGAATCCTAGAATGTTCAGAATGCCTTAAGTGATGCTGTCAAGTATGTCTGCTTATTCACTTCATTTACAAACAAAAAGCTGTGAGGTCAGGTACTATATGCAGGGCTTAAAATGAAAAAGGGAAAGAAAATAAGAGCGCTCAGGTATTTTTGATGATGCTCTTCGGTTTTCACAGGGAACAAATATAATCTTACACTACTTTAAAATCAGGTACATAGATCTGTACGGATATCATCTATTTGAATGTCTTTCTGTACATTTTTATGCACACTGCAGTTCAAAATCAAAACCAATTTACATTCTTCCTATGTTTTTCATTATAAACTAAAGTATATCCTCTGCTTACACAGTGTTCAATTGTAACAATGGATGAAGTTCTTTGCCTTTGAGTATCTGCAAAGATGGAAGTCTGAATACCTGGGTATTATTTGCTATTCTTTCTTGAATGGTATGTTTAATTGTTATTGGCCAGCATGGAACTTATTTGTCATTTTATTTTTTTTAACTAAGCTGGAAGGAGGTTTGGACTTTTCTTGGATTCTAAATGGCATTCTCACATTTAATAATATCACAATGATTTAGAGTAAGAATAATTCTAGTCTCACATAAATTTTAAAAAATTGTTTTCTGATAATCCTCCATGTTGAGAAAACCATTTTGTTTATGAACTTTTACACGTAAAATTGAAGATTTTACATAAAACATTTTATAAATTGATACATGTTATATATTTATATTTAATATAAATTATAAATTTTATATATAACATAAATTTTGTTATAACAAAATTTTAAACTTTTAAAATGTGATGTTTCCTATGGAATGGAGATTATTTTAATGTTTTCTTCCTGATTTTCTGAGTTTTTTCTCCTTCGTATTATGTGGTACACACACATCCTTTTAGGTTGGGAGAGCTGTCTCCGTGCCAGCTGTGAGGGGCCAGGGCTGCCATGTGCTCTCTTCCCTGGGACCTGCTGCTGCCTTTAGTGAAGCTTCCCACTCCCAGCTTGTTCTCTTCTCATTCTTGCAGAAATGGTGTATAAGAAAATCCTCTGGTTTTTTTTGTTTTGTTTTGTTTTTTTTCTGGAGAAGGAGAAAAGAACATATTCTTAGTAGTTGCTTGTGGAAAACATTGCAGTAGCTGGTTTTAAAAATACTGACTTGTGTGAAAGGAATCCTCATGCTAACATGAGAAGGTTTCATAAGGTTAAACACCTCTTCTGAAATGTCATGGGTGTGGTGGAAACATGGGACTGACTTTTTTCCAATTATCTCATCAGATCCTTATTTTACTGTTATTAATACCCCAAAGGGGCCAGGCACGGTAGCTCACGCCTGTAATCCCAGCACTTTGGGAGGCCGAGGCGGGTGGATCACCTGAGGTCGGGAGTATGAGACCAGCCTGGCCAACATGATGAAACCCCGTCTCTACTACAAATACAACAAATTAGCCAGGCGTGGTGGTGCGCGCCTGTAATCCCAGCTACTCTGGAGGCTGAGGCAGGAGAATCGCTTGGAACAGGGAGGCAGAGGTTGCAGTGAGCCGAGATCGCCCCACTGCACTCCAGCCTGGGCAACAAAAGTGAACTTCTATTTCAAAAAAAAAAAATACTGCCAAGGTTTCATAAATTATTACTATTATTGTTACTATTTAGCTTTGAAAGTAGATGCCATGCTTGTTCACTCTTATAGGCAGCCCTGAGTCTGAAGGTTCTGGCTGGTGAGATTTGCACAACTAGTCTTGTGTTTTAGCCCAAAGTGCTGATTGTTTCTGTGTAAATTGGTGGTGGACATATTGAACTAACTTCTCCATAGTATGAATTTGCAAATTTGTTCTTTGGGGAATGATTGGGTACAATTCAATGTGATTTTCTCTCCTCTCTCCTTTTTCTAATTTTTGCTCAGAATAAAATGGCAAATGAATAATGCATTATTTTTTGGAACCACCTCCATGATTCATTTGACTCACCCAATAACCATATAAGAAGCATTGGAACAGTATTTATTTTCTTATTCCCAGGGGTTTCCATGAAGCCAAAGGATGCTGAATTAATTTCTTAAAGTCACAAATAAAACCAGGGAAGAGCCAAGGACTCCCAGCTCAGACGTTTCTAACATTTATTTCTCTACATTTTTTCAGCTATAGATATTGGACTAGAATCTGATCTGGATTGGCTGAAAAACATAATTTCCATGCAACTATATGATTGCAGCAGTGGCATCTTGAGATGTTTCTGGTCAGAGGAAGACACCAGGGGGCTAATATTTGTTGAGCCCTCTAAATGCTGGCAGTTATTTTATATAATTCTTACAATAGCATATGAGATTACTGTTATGATGTTCCTTTCATAGGTGAGAAAACCATGAGAGGTTGACTTGCCAGAGATCATGTAGCCTTTGAATAGCAAGGATGGGATCAAACCCACAACATGCGCTGTGTCATTTGCCTATGACATTTGGGAGGCAATACCGCAACTTTGTTGAGCATGTTGGGATTGTAGGTGGGCTTAGACCAAGTTATCTGCCACACCCTTTTATGCCATGTCAGGTCTCCAGTGCTGCAAACTCAGCTTTGCATAATCTAATCTAAGCACTAATGTAATTCAGGAAATTCATAAAAGTGTTGGAGAGGTGCTCCTGCCAATCGTCATTCCATGTATGGGCCTTTCCAAACTGGACCTATTAAAATTCTGAAGAAATTTTATTGCCAGATCGTTTCATTCAAAATGTCTGAATATCAAAGCCGCAAGACACATTTTCTTTCTAGAATGTATGCCTCATTATGGTCTGTCTGTGTCTTCTACATAGTAAGTGCTCAGTGAATGTTGATGACTTAATGAACTTAATTTCCCTAAATTAGAAGGGAGGAAAATTAATGTAGTACACAGTTAATCTATGGTAACCATAATTGCTAAAGTCAGGAACCTTGTCTACTACTACACAAAAAGCCATTGTCAGACCTGAGCACTCACTTCTGATTTTCAGTTCCCTGGCTATGACCACTAACCCACAGTTCTTCCTTTTCTATTATTTCACAAAATAACTCATGTAATAAATGGCCAACGTGCAACACGAATTAAGTAAAATGTCAGCTGTAAGCCTCGCATGGTTCTCTTTAGAGAAAGGCAGATTCATATGCAAGATCATTCTGGGTCAGATCTCACTAACACTCTGGCCATTCATGCTTGTGTCACTGCCTCACAACCTGTACAGTTTCATTGCTGCATTGAGGGCATAATGAACAGGCTTCTGTTTCACGGGTAAGTTCCCAGGAGAAAAATGCATATTGTTCATAATGCTATGTTTGTTCCAATAAAATTTATAAAAATATTTCTTTCTCCCATCCCATAGCTTTCTTGGATGCCTGTGAGTTACAGTAAGAATGTTTTATATGTCAGGTCAGCATGTAAATCCATCTGCAATCACTTCTTGGATGAAAACCAAGATTTAAGTACTATTAAAATAAATATTTAAGTTTATTCATGAATTTTGTAGTTTAATCTCTTCAGGATACAAAAACCATTAAAATTATATTTTAATGCATGGCTAAAGATACATGAAACAAGTTTATAACAGCTATAGATCAATAATTCTTTCTGATTATGCAAAATTATCTTTCAAACTTTTATAAGTTAGTAGCAAATTTATTTATACACTGGTTAAATTTATACTTATTTTTAATTGAGAAGTTAAACTTTACAACAATATTTAGCACTTCTAATAACTAATAATTTTGTTCTAATTTATTATATTATCTTAGCAGGCTCACATTATATTAATTCACTTAGAAACCAATTTATTTATGGCCCACTATATACAAAACTGAATACTGGGCACGTGGGCACGAAGTTGATGCCGATCAACTCTGAAGGCAAAATATATCTCTCATTATTTACTTAATATCTTTATTTTATAATTTGAAATCTAAGAACATAAAAAAATTCCTGACTGTTATTTTTTAAAATTATATGTATCTTTGTTGTGAGTGAATATTTATGGATGTCAGAATCGTTTCATATAACCTCTTGATATGTATATATTAGTCAAAAACAATGACAACAAAAACACAAGAGAAAAACAAATAAAATAAAGTTCTTATCACCTTCCTTACAATTTGGGGTAGAATTTTCACTTTGTTACTCTGAAATCTTAGAGAATATTCAAGTATCCAGATTTATAATACAATTTTTTTAGGCAGGAACACAGCAAACTCTCAGATATATGAGACTATCTGATTACAGAATTCTTCTCTTTCTGAGTTCGTATACCTAAGGCTAAAGCCAAGGTATACTCTGCATTGTTAAAAATACGTTTCTCTAGCTGGATGTGCTGGTGCACGCCTGTACTCCCACCTGCTCAGGAGGTGGAAGCAGGAGGATCACTTGAGCTCAGCCAGAGCAACATAGCAAGACTCAGTCTCGAAAATAAATATATACATTTCTCTATGGAGAGTAACACACTTAGGTATGTATTTTAGAAAGACTGATTGTTTCAGAACATAGAATGAAGCTGACCCAGATGGAAAGCAAAGATAATGATGAAAAGATTCATGTGGTAATCTAGGCCAGAAAGGACATTGGCTTGGACAAAAGAAGTGACCATTTGGTTGGCAATGAGAAGACAAATTTTAAAAGTATTTGAGACTCATACTATGCACAAAAATTAACTCAAAGTGGATCATAGGCCCCCGTGTAAGAGCTAAAACATATACAGCTCCAAAAAAAAAAAAAATGTAGTGAATCTTCATAACCTTGGGTTAGGCAAAGTCATCTTTGATAGGATAATAAAAACACAGGAAGCAAAAGAAAAAATAAATACAGGCCGGGTGCGGTGGCTCACGCCTGTAATCCCGGCACTTTGGGAGGCTGAGGCAGGCGGATCACAAGGTCAGGAGATCGAGACCACGGTGAAACCCCGTCTCTATTAAAAATACAAAAAAATTAACCAGGTGCGGTGACGGGCGCCTGTAGTCCCAGCTGCTCTGCAGGCTGAGGCAGGAGAATGGTGTGAACCCGGGAGGTGGAGCTTGCAGTGAGCCGAGATCCTGCCACTGCACTCCAGCCTGGGCGACAGAGCGAGACTCTGTCTCAAAAAAAAAAAAAAAAAAAAAAAGAAAAGAAAAGAAAAAATAAGTACATTAGATCATCATTTGTTAAAAATTTGTGTTTCAAAGGCTACCATCAAGAAAGTAAAAAGAAAACGCACAGAATGAGACACAATATTTTCTAAACATATATATGAGACTTGTAGGTAGAATATATAAAGAACTCTTACAAATTAACAATAAAAATTCAAAGGACACAATTTAAAAATGGCCAAAGGATCTGAATAGACATTTCTCCAAAGAAAATATACAACAACCAACATGTACCTGAAAACATGCAGGACATAGTTAACCATCAGAAAAATGCAAACCAAAACTGCAATGAGATACTATTTCATACCTACTAGGATGGCCATAATAAAATCAGACAACCACAAGTGTTTGTGAAGATGTGGGGAAATTGGAACGCTCATAGACTGCTGGCAAATGTGTAAAATGGTGCAATTACTTTGGAAAACAGTCTGGCAATCTCTCAAAAGGTTAAAAATAGAGTAGTAATAGTAATATGACCCAGCATTTCCACTTTTAGGTATGTACCCAAGATGAATGTAAACATATGTCCACACCCAAACTTGTGCAGGAATGTTTACAACAGTATTATTCATAATAGCCAAAATGTGAAAACAGTTCAAATTTCTATCAGCTGATGAATGGATAAATATCCAAACAATAGAATTCTTTTTTTTTTTTTTTTTGAGACGGAGTTTCGCTCTTGTCTCCCAGGCTAGAGTGCAATGGCGTCATCTCAGCTCACTGCAACCTCTGCCTCCCAGGTTCAAGTGATTCTCCTGCCTCAGCCTCCTGAGTAGCTGGGATTACAGGTGCCTGCTACCATGATTGGCTAATTTTTGTTTTTTCCGTTTTTGTTTTTTTGTTTTATTTTTTGAGACAGAGCCTCCCACTGTCACCCAGGCTGGAGTGCTGTGGCACGATCTCGGTTCACTGCAAGCTTTGCCTCCTGGGTTCACGCCATTCTCCTGCCTCAGCCTCCCGAGTAGCTGGGACTACGGGCGCCCACCACCATGCCTGGCTCATTTTTTGTATTTTTAGTAGAGATGGGGTTTCACCATGTTGGCCAGACTGGTCTCGAACTCCTGACCTCAAGTGATCTTCCTAACTCGGCCTCCCAAAGTGCTGGGATTACAGGCTTGAGCCACCACGTCCAGCACATACAATAGAATATTATTCAATAATAAAAAGTATTGAAGTACTGATACTCGCTAAAACGTGGATGAACTTTAAAACTATTATGCTAAGTGAAAGAAATCAGTTACAAAAGACCACATATTGTATTATTCCATTTATATAAAATTTTTGGAAAAGCAACACTTAGAGACAGAAAGTAGAATAGTGGTTGCCTGGTGCTGGAGACTTTGGGGAGAAATGGAGAGGAAATGCTATCATGTACGGTGGTTTTTATTTTTTTTTTTGGAGTGATGAAAATGTTCTAAAGTTGACTGTGGTGATAGTTGCTCAACTTATTGAATATATTTTAAGAAATGACTTGCATAGTTTAACTGGGTGAATTGTATAGTGTGTAAATTATTTCTCAATAAAGCTATTATGTTACAAAAAATTTAGGAAGAAAATGGACGAATCTTGATTATCGTTTAGATGTGAAATAAGAATATCAGGTGGGAAGAAAACAAGGCTTTTTGATTAGTCTGTGGGGTAATGGGTGAGAAGGAATACAGAAAAACAAGAAGGTTCACAGAAGGTGATGAGCTCAGTTTGGAATATAGCAAATTTGAAAAGTTGGAAATGAATCCATATTGCTATAACTCAAGAGCAATGCCTAGGTTGGAGATGATACATTCTGGAAGCAGGACCATAAAAGTGGTCATTGAAGTCAGTGATGTGGGTGAGAAAAGGCCCTGGGCAGAAGTCTGTGGAGCCCCAGCGCTGAGGGGCATTCTTGGGAGAAGAACCAGCTAAGGAGACACAAGAGTTCTTGAAATAGAACATTCGCATAAGCTAACACATGTCACATTCGTCTATAAGAAGTAGGACTTCAAGGAAGTTTTGTGCCATTAATATGCTTGGATAAACCAAAGTCTAATAATGAAAATAGAAGCCTTGGAATAGCAAACAATACCTTTTTTTCCTTTCTTCAACTGATGCCAATTTTTTGGAACGTTGTTTTGAAATAAAAAGAGTTTTAGGCCGGGTGTGGTGGCTCATGCCTGTAATCCCAGCACTTTGGGAGGCCAAGGCAGGTGGATCACCCGAGGTCAGGAGTTTGAGACCAGCCTGACCAACATGGTGAAACCCTGTCTCTACAGAAAATACAAAAAATTAGCTGGGCGTGGTGGCAGGGACTTGTAATCCCAGCTACTCGGGAGGCTGGGGCAGGAGAATTGCTTGAACCTGGATGGGAGGTGGAGGTTGCAGTGAGCCGAGATCATGCCATTGCACTGCAGCCTGGGCGACAAGAGCCAGACTCCATCTCAAAAAAGAAAAGACAGAGAGAGAGTTTTAACAAGTAAAATTAACATAATTTCATCATCTAGTTTTCTTAATGTTTAAAATTGATTCTTAACCAAACTTGTCATCACATACAAGTGTATACATATTATATATGCCAACAAGTATATACATATTATATATGCCACTAAATTACATATTCTGTCACTTTGCCATAAGCTGTTTGAAAGACATTTTAGTTTCCTCCCCACAGCCTTAGCATGCTGTAGCCTTAAGAAGTAATCTATGAGGCCGGGCGCGGTGGCTCACGCCTGTAATCCCAGCACTTTGGGAGGCCGAGGCGGGCGGATCACGAGGTCAGGAGATCGAGACCACGGTGAAACCCCGTCTCTACTAAAAATACAAAAAATTAGCCGGGCGCAGTGGCGGGCGCCTGTAGTCCCAGCTACTCGGGAGGCTGAGGCAGGAGAATGGCGTGAACCCGGAAGGCGGAGCTTGCAGTGAGCGGAGATCGCGCCACAGCACTCCCGCCTGGGCGACAGAACGAGACTCCGTCTCAAAAAAAAAAAAAAAAAAGAAGTAATCTATGAATATAATTTTAATGTTATTAAAGCTGTGATTTTCTACAAACAGGTTAATTTTCAAAGGGAGCTCAGTTATTATAACATCTACTGGATAATTTAGATTGTTTCTATTATTACAGCTTCTTGTTCAGAGTAACTTCACTAATGTTTATAATATGCTGTTTGGAACGCCCTGTTTTTCAAGATGAACTCACTGGAACTATTGACTTGGCAGCCAGCTACTTTTTAAAAGCAGTGCACCAATCAGATAAGAATAATCAACTCAAATATTTACTTAAAACCTTTCCAAAATAATTACTTACAAGTCTCAAACCAGAATAACAAAATTTGAAGTGCAATTACAGAAACACTTTTCTCTCACATGCTTGTTAAAGACAAATAACAGAAAACACTAATATATTGATGTTGATTACTGAAAAGGTATTGTTTAGAATGTTTTAGAATCTATGTCTTCGGCATTGGTGTGTATTTCTATTAACTTGTTTTGCAGAAGTCTTATTTTTGTTTCCAGGTATTTTCTGATTTCCTCAGAGCTCCAAATGGTATCAACAAGTGCTTTTCTACAATGAGAATGAGGCATGCCAGTGTGATGGTCCCTAATCAATATTTGCCAGCATATCATTATGTCAAAAATATTACCAGGAGTTTACCTATAAGAGTACCTAAGAATGGGGCTTATTAGTTAGAAATCGTAATTCAAATATCCCTGTCTCCCTTTTCTAAAGAATGCTTGGCCGGGCGTGGTGGCTAACGCCTGTACTTCCAGCACTTTGGGAGGCTGAGGTGGGTGGATGACCTGAGTTCAGGAGTTCGAGACCAGCCTGGCCAACATGGGAAAACCCCGTCTCTACTAAGAGTACAAAAATTAGCCGAGGGTGGTGGCAGGCACCTGTAATCCCAGCTACTCGGGAGGCTGAGGTAGGAGAATTGCTTGAACCTGGGAGGCGGAGGTCGCAGTGAGCCGAGATCGTGCCACTGCACTATCCTCTTTTTCAACATTAAAGAAGGTCTTGGAAAGTATCAAAGACATACAATGGAGAGGAGTTATGAAGAGTGACTGTTAACATGAAAATATTGGCAAGAGATGGAACAATAGCTATTTCTTTTCGAGACGGGGTCTTGCTCTGTTGCCCAGGCTAGAGTTCAGTGGCCTGATTAAGACTCACGCAGCCATGACTTCCCCGGCTCAAGCCATCCTCCCACCTCAGCCTCCAGACTAGCTGGACCTACAGGCACGTGCCACCATGCCCAGCTAATCTTTTTTGTTTTTAGTCATGAAAAGGTTGCCTGAGCTGGTCTCTAACTCCTGTCCTCAAGCGATCCTGCCTCCTCAGCCTCTCAAAGTGTTGGGTTTACAGGAGTGAGCCACCATGCCTGGCCTCCCATTTTCTAACTTAAGTAATAGCATGTTTTCATGGCACCTGAACCCCTTATTTCCAGGGGAAACATCATCAAAATCTGATGAGAATTTGTTGAGAGAAGTAAAAGAATACAAATAGTCCTTGTCCTCCTATTTACGGCAGAGGACACAAGGGTGTTTGCCCAGAAGAGGTAGACGCCAGGCTACCGTACGCCCAGAGTATTCAGGGCTCCAGTGACTTTGGAAAGCTATTGGATCAAAGCAGATTTCAGGGAAAGGAATGAAGAGCAGCAGTTTTGATTTGACCATTGGCTTCAGGAGGCAGGGATTAAAGGGATATTTGATGCTTTCGTGTTGTGTAGTCATAATCAGCAGACAAGAAGCAGACAGATTACGGATCAGAGGCTCCTGTGCATCTGGCAGGGGAACCTCAGTCAGGAGGCTACATTGGCCATAGCAGTTGCAGTCCAGCATCGAACAAATGCTGTCCTGCTTTAGCAATGATTTGGGAAGAAGTTCCGTTTAGTAAAATGAATCTGCACTTTAAATTCTACTGGATGTGGAAGGTAAAAAAGAGGGAAGATTCGGCCTGGCACGGTGGCTCATGCCTGTAATCCCAGCACTTTGGGAGGCCAAGGGGCAGATCACGTGAGGTCAGGAGTTCGAGACCAACCTGGCCACATGGTGAAAACCTTGTCTCTAGTAAAAATACAAAAATTAGCCGGGCGTGGTGGCATGTGCCTGTAATCCCAGCTACTTGGGAGGCTGAGGTAAGAAATCACTTGAACCTGGGGGGTGGAGTTTGCAGTAAGCCAAGATTGTGCAATTGCACTCTAGCCTGGGCAACAAGAGCAAAACTCTGTCTCAAAAAACGAGGAAAGATTCCAGGAATTTTTCTTAAACATCACAAATCTTTTCCCATGAGGCAGATTTCTCCATCAGCAGTTGTAACATATACCACCTGCATTTCCTGGGTTGGTATACCTCTATTTTCATATTTAAGATGATCGTTTAATTTAGTATTTAAAAGTTTTGCATGCAGCATCAAGGAAATTGTTGATCTGAAAATTATCTATTACAATTTACATAATGGATTATTTTCCTTTTCAAATATCCTGGAAAGAAAAAGGGAAATAAATACATTTGTTAAGTATATTTAAATTCTATATTATATGAATGGATTTGAACAATTAGGTTTACCTAGAGTTTTGTAATATACTCAATTCTGTTCATAGTCACTTTTAACATCTTTTTATGATTTAAATGATTCAATTTTGTTAAGAAGCCAGGGCAATAATAGATCATCTAGATCTTTCCCTGTTCAGTGTTCCATTCACCACATCAGGCTAAGGGTGTAAGGTGCAAGCTGCTTTTGACCTTTCAGAGCACGTGGAACTAAACAGAAAATGGCATTTTCAAAATGCTCCTAGCACACAGATATCCTACTTCCCAGCATATTGGAGATGGTCTTTTTTTCCTGGCAGTTGAGATGCCTGCCCCAGTTACATTTGGCCAGGTAAACTGCTCTCTTCATAAGACACCAGGAGAATGACTTATTAGAAGGCAATGATTTGCAATTGCCTAAGATCTCTCAGTAAAACTGATTCTTCTGCTTCTATTTTGCTGTTGCTGTTTTGCATTTGAGAATTAGTATTTTGACTACTGTGTCATCCCTGTCATTCTGTCTTCAAGGTGAGCCTTCACAGACTAAGGTAAAAAGTTCTCAGCCTATTTTCATGACTGTGTTGGCTACTTGTTCTAAATTGAAATAATTTTTATGACTGACTCTGTGAAAATAGTTAGCTAAATAAGTTCTAGTCAAATGATCCTAGAATCTATGGAAACTGATTTCATGCACATAATGTCAAGAGATCACGCCACTGCACTCCAGCCTGAGTGATAGAGTGAAACTTGTCTCAAAGATTATTGAATCTGAATCTGAATTCTCTGAACTCCATAGCAGTTTGGAAACATTCTCCAACAATATAAATTCTTGGACATTTGTATAGCTAAAATATGAGAGAAACAGGGAAGTTATTCTCACCACAATTTTAGTCATTTTTTTCAAATCCA